>NC_000002.12:17206725-17358240 GCF_000001405.40 Homo sapiens
TAAGAAATCATATTCTATTTTTATATCATCTGTATCTCAAACTGTCTTCAAAAATAAAAAGCCTTCTTTATTAAAAATACTTTACATCTACCTCTATTACATTTAAGTAATTAGTTAAATATCATAATAAAAGGAGATTTTTGTCTTTGGTGACTTGGCACACATACTTCAAAACTGAAAACTTCCCCTGACTACCATTAAGAGTGTTCTTAGTTACAAAGTAGTTTTGGGTTGTAAACACTGACAAAATGTATTTGTCTACATTCTGGCTCAACTAAATATGCAGAACATGTAGTATTTGGGAATTCATGCTATTGAAAATAGTCAACCTCAGTTTTGTGTTTCAGTTCTGTCAATTACTAACCCAGAACTTGTGTAAATTATTTAACCCTTCAAGCCTCAGATTTTTCATCTATAAAACTCATTCCTTCATTACACATACTTGCTGAGCACTCACCATTTTTGTTATCATTATTGTTATTATAATGCTCTTCAAATTCACAGAAGATAATTAACTATTTCACTACATTTGACTGAAATGATTATAGAGCACTCAACTGGTTGGAAACAATAAGTAACAAGCCATAGCTCAATTGGCACTCTAAGGTCAAGTATGGGGACATAGTGTCTAGTGTCTCCTTCTATGTTCCCATAGCATCTGGGCTTATGGGCTTGGTTGCATTTTTTACCATATATATATATATGGCTACACTTGAAGTGAAGAGCTATTCTATTCATCTTTCTATTTCCAGCTCCTAGTATAATACAATGCACAATATAGTGGGCTTAATGAATGTTTTTTAAGTGAATGAGTGAATAAATGAATAATGAAGCATATGTACTGAGAAACAGGAAAACAATTAGAGTAAATAGAAAAACAATTAGAGAAAAAAAAATCAACCTGGAGATACACTCTGCCCTCTCACCCATCACAGTAAATCTATAAAGCAGGACACATTTGGAAAGGAGTTGAAAGCAGATATACCGGAGCTAGAATTCTATAAAGTTTGGGATGGTAGTAATTAAAGAACAGAAGTGACAAGCTGAAGAGTAACAGAAATGCAGTCTCAGAACATGGTAAATGGATCAGAAAACCTATATCTTTAGACTAAACTTTAAGCAACTGTAGAAAGGGATGAAGCACTTTGAGCCATTTTTAACATATTAGCACTGATACTAATAAACGACTATCCTTGCTGGGCCAGAGGGAAGGATCAAGGCAAGAAAGCCTGCCTACAACATACAACCATGTCAGTTAACATAGATATGGACCTGACCAAAGAAGATAGAGCTCTAGTCAGTCAAAGTTAAGCTTTACCAGGGCTTTTGTAAATAAAACTGAAGGCTCGGTTTATGGCCATATCGTTCTAATTTCTGCCTCCATGTTCACTGTGTCTTTTCCTCTATATCTTCTGCTCTGCCGTCTGTTCACCTCTGTATATTATTAGAAGGACACTGTCATTGGAGTAGACCCACCTCAATCCAAAGACAATTAGCCAGGATCTTACTTCAAGATTCCTAACATAATTACATCTGCAAAAACCCTTTTTTCTAAATAGAGTAACATTCACAGATTCCAAGGATTAGGACATAGACTTTTTTGGAGTCGGGGGAAGAGGGGAGAGACAATATTTAACCCACTACAAGAAGGAATACTTCACAACTTATTTTATGAGACTTATATTACTCAAATGCCAAAACCAGGCAGTGACATGACAAGAAAAGAAAACTACAAAGCAATCTTTGTTATGAATGTAGATGCAGAATTCTCAACATAATACAGGCAAACAGATTCCAGCAAATTATAAAAATTTGCTTTTGGTCCATGACCAAAAAGAGAGAGTGAGGGGAAGAGACAGAGAGAGAGAGAGAGAGAGAGAATATCAATAGACAGAAGAACAAAAGCCGCATGATGATCTCAACAGACATAGAATAAATATGCAAGGAATGTTTGACAACATTCACACTCTTTCACAATAGAAATACTCAACAAACTGGGAATAGAAGGGAAATTCCTCAAAATGATGAAGGAAAACTACAACAAACCCCCTGTTGACATTGTACATATGGCGAGAGACTGGATGCTTTCTTCCTGAGATCAGAAAAAAGCAAAGGTATCATCTTTTGCCACTTCTATTCTGCATCATACTGGAAGTTCTACTCAGTTCCACTGGGCAAAATAGATAAATAAAGTCACCCAGATTGGAAATAAAAAGAAGTAAAACTATCTCTACAGATGTCATGATCTTGCATACCGGAAATTCTCAGGGACTTACTAAAAATCTATTAGAACCAATAAACAAGTTTGGCAAAGTTGCAGAATACAGGATCAACATACAAAAATCAATTTTATTTCTACACATTTGCAATGACTAACAAAATATAATTAAGAAAATATATACAATAGTATCAAAAATAATAAAACATTTAGAAATAAATTTGACAAAAGCAGCCCCAAACTTACATTCCTAAGGGAAAAAACTCATTATTTATTTATCTTATAACTGTAAGTTTGTACTCTTTAACCAACATCTCCCCATTTTCCCCACCCCTGATGCCTAGCAACCATCCTTCTAATCTCTGTTTCTATGAGTTTGACTTTTTAAAATTTCACATATAAATGAGATGATGCAGTATTCATATTTCTGTGTCTGGCTTATTTCACTTAGCATTATGTCCTCCAGTTTCATCCACTTTGTTGAAAATGGCAGGGTTTCCTTTTCTAAGGCTGGATAATATTTTGTTGTATTTATCTATGTATATACACAACAATTTTATTATATATTTACTCACTGATAGACACTTCGCTTTCTTCCATATTTTTACTACTGTGAATAATGCTACAATGAACATGGGAGTACAGATATCTCTTGGAGACACTGATTTTATTTCCTTTGGATAAATGCCTGGAAGTGGAGTTTCTGGTTTATATGGTAGCTCCATTTTTAATTTTTAAAGGAATTTCCATACTGTTTTCCATAATGGTGGTGTCACAAACAATTCCGCAAACATTCCACCCCAGTAATATATAACTGTTCCCTTTCCTTCACACCCTTGGCAACACTTGTTATCTTTTGACTTTTTGATAATAGCCATCCTCACAGGTGTGAGTGATGTCTCCTTGTGATTTTAATTTGCATTTCCTTGAGGATTAGTGATATGGATCACTTTTCCATATACCTGTTGGCCATCTGTACGTCTTCCTGGGAAAAATGTCTATTCAAAGTCCTTGGTCCATTTTTTAATCAGGTTAATTGTTTTGTTTTGTTTTGTTTTTCTACTGAGTTGTATTAGTTCCTAATATATATAGGATATTGACCCCTCATTGAATATATAGTTTCCAAACATTTATCTCGATTCCGTGGGTTCTTTTATATTTTACTGATGGTTTCCTTTGCTGTGCAGAAACTTTTTGGTTTTATGTAGTCTCTCTTATTTATTTTTACTTTTGTTGCCTATGATTTTAGTGTCGTAGCCAAAAAATCTTTGTCCAAACCAATGCCCAGGCAGGGCGCGGTGGCTCATGCCTGTAATCCCAGCACTTTGGGAGGCCGAGGCGGGTGGATCACGAGGCCAGGAGATCGAGACCATCCCGGCTAACACGGTGAAACCCCGTCTGTACTAAAAATACAAAAAATTAGCCGGGCGTCGTGGTGGGCGCCTGTAGTCCCAGCTACTTGGGAGGCTGAGGCAGGAGAATGGCGTGAACCCGGGAGGCGGATCTTGCAGTGAGCCGAGATCGCGCCACTGCACTCCAGCCTGGGCAACAGAGTGAGACTCCGTCTCAAAAAAAAAAAAAAAAAAGCAATGTCCATGGAGCTTTTTCTTCATGTTTTCTTTTAGGTGTTTTACAATTTCAGGTCTCATGTTTAATCTTTAATCCATTTTCAGTTGGAGTTTCTGTATGGTACAAGGATACAATTTGCTTTTTTAAATTACATGTACATACCAGTTTTCCCAGCACCATTTATTGAAGCAATTATCTTTTTTCCATTGTATATTCTTAGCATCTTTGTCAAAGATTAGTTGACCATATATGCATGAGCTTATTTGGGGGATTTCTATTCTTTTCCATTGGTCTATAATGCTTTGATTGCTATAGTTTTGTAATATTATTTGAAATTGGGAGGTGTGATGCCTCTGTCTTTGTTCTTCTTATTCTACAGTGCTTTACCTTTTCGGGGTCTTTTATAGTTTTATACAAATTTTAGGATTTTTTTTTCTATTCCTGTGAAAAATGCCATTCGAATTTTCATAGGAATTACACTAAACCTTTAGTTCACATTGGGTAGTATGGACATCTTGACAATATTGATTCTTCCAATCCGCGAACATGGGATATCTTTCCATTGATTTGCATCTTCATCAGTTTCTTTCATCAATATATTATAGTTTTCAGCATACAGAACTTTCACTTCCTTAGGGGAATTTATTCCTAAGTGTTTTATTCTTTTTCATGCTATTGTGAATGAGATTACTTTCTTAATTTCTTTTTTTCAGGTAGTTCATTTTTAGTGTATAGAACTGCAACTGATTTTTGTGCTTTGATTTTGTATCCTGCAACTTTACTGAATGCATTTACTTGTTCTAAAAGGTTTTTGGTAGAGTCACAGGGGTTTCCATATATATGATAATGTCATTTGCAGAGACAATTTTACTTCTTCCTTTCCATCCATTTAGATGTCTTTTATTTTTTATTTGTTTCTAATTACTCTGGCTAGGACTTCCAGTACTGTGTTGAATAGAAGTGGTGAGAGTGGGCATTCTTGTCTTATTCCTGATATTAGAGAAAAAGGTGATCAACTTTTCACCATTGAGTATGATATCAGCTGTGAGTTTGTCACATATGGCCTTTATTCTTTGGAGGTACATTCTTTTATATCTAATTTTTTTAGAGTTTTTATTATGCAAAGATGTCAAATCTTATCAAATAGTCTTTCTGCATCTATTAAGATGATTGTATGATTTTGTCTTGTATTCTATTAATCAATGTATCACATTTATTGATTTGTTTATGTTTAATCATACTTGCATCCCAGGGATAAATTCCACTTGATTAAAATGTATGAAACTTTTAATGGGCTGTTAAATATCACTTGCCAGGATTTTGTTGAGAATTTTTACAACTATGTTCATCAGAGGTATTGAGGTACTGGCCTGTAATTTTTTGTTCTTATAGTGTCCTTATCTGGCTTTGGTATCAGGGTAATGCTGACCTTATAACATGACCATAAAATGTTACCATCTGTTGAATTTTTTTAAACAGCTTGAAAAGGATGATATTAATTCTTAAATATCATCCTTTATTTCACAGTTTCAACAGTGAAATAATCGGGTCCTGGGCTTTTTTATTGGAGGTACTTTTTATTACTGATTCAATCTCCTTGCTCATTTTTGGTGTGTTCAGATTTTCTATTTCTTCATGATGAAGTCTTGTTATGTTGTATGTGTCTAGTTACTTCTAGATTATTCAATTTTTGGCATGTATTTGTTCATAGTATTCTCTTTTTTTGTATTTCTGGGGTATCAGTTTTAATGGTCTCTTCTTCCATTTCTGATTTTATTTATTTGCATCTTCTTCGTATCTTAGTCTAGCTAAATGTTTGTTAATTTTATCTTTTCCAAAAGTCAACTCTTATATTCATTGATTTTTCTACTGGTTTTCTAGAATCCATATCATTTAATTCTGCTATTACAATTACTATTTTCTTCCTTCTACTAACTATTAGCTTAGTCTGTTCTTTTTATAGTTTTTGATGTGTAATATTAACTTGTTTTATGAAATCTTTCTCTTTTGATGTAGACATTTATTACTATACACTTTCTTCTCAGAAGTGCTTTTGCTCCATCCCATAAGTTTTATTATGGTGCATTTCCAATTTTTTTGGTCCTAAGAAATTTTTTTAATTTCTCTTTTAATTCCTTCTTTGACATATTGGTTTTTCAGAAGCATGGTGTTTAATTTATATATAATTGTGATTTTTCAAAAATTCGTTTGTTATTGATTTCCTGTTTTATACCATTACAGTATGAAAAGATACTTGAAATGATTTCAATCTTCTTTAATTTGTGAAGATTTGTTTGGCCTAACATACGATCTCCACTGGAGAATGTCTCTAATATGTATGCTTGAGGAGAATGTGTATCTGCTGCTATTGGATGAAATGTTCTGTATATATCTGTTAGGTCCATTTGATCTAAAGTGTAGTTCAAGTCCAATGTTTTCTCATTGATTTTCAGTCAGGATCATCTATCCATTGTTTAAAGTAGGACATTGATATCCCCTAATATTATTATATTTCTGTCTATCTATCCCTTCAGATCTATTAACATTTGCTTTAAAGATCTAGGTACTCTGATGTTGGGTACATATAAATTTATAATTTTATAACCTCTTGATGAAGTCACCCTTTTATCATTATATAATAACCATCTTTGTCTCCTTCACAATTTTTGACATAATGTCTGTTTTGTCTGAAATATCTTTTTCTATTTTTTCACTTTCCATCTATGTGTGTCTTTGATTTTTGACAGTTTGATTATAATATGTCTTAGTGAATTCTTATTAGGGTTGAATCTCATTGAAAATATTAGTGCTTTATTTATGGATGTTCATATCTTTTCTCAGATTGGAGAAGTTTTTACCCTTTTTTAAAGTAAATTTCTGTCCCTCTTTCTCTTCTTCATAAAATTTTATAATATGAAAAATGGTTTTCAATGGCATCTCATAAATCTTGTAGACACTCATTCTTCTTTTTTTCTTCTCTGACTGGATATTGTCAAATAAACTGGCCTGAGTTCACAGATTCTTTCTTCTGCTTGTTCAGTTCCATTGTTGGCACACTTTTTTTTGTTTGTTTGTTTTTTTGAGACAGGGTCTCGTTCTGTCACCCAAGCTAGAGTGCAGTGGTGCAATCTTGGCTCACTGCAGCATCAATCTCCCAGGCTCAAGCGATTCTCCCACCTCAGCCCAAGTATCTGGAACTATAGGCTCATGCCACCACACCCAGCTAATCTGTGTATGTTTGTAGAGCTGGGACTTCGCCATATTTCCCAGGCTGCTCTTGAACTCCTGGGCTCAGGCAATTTGCCCACCTTAGCCTTCCAAAGTGCTGGAATTACAGGCATGAGCCTCCATGCCTGACCCATTGTTGACACTCTCTATTGCATTTTTTTTCTTTTTTTATGGAGTCTCGCTCTGTCACCCAGCCTGGAGTGCAGTGGCATGAGCTTGGCTCACTGCAACCTCCACCTCCTGGGTTCCAGCGATTCTCCTGCCTCAGCCTCCCGAGTAGCTGGGACTACAGGAGCATGCCACCATGCCTGGTTAATTTTTGTATTTTTTAGTAGAGACGGGGTTTCACCATATTGGCCAGGCTGGTCTCAAACTCCTGACCTTGTGATCCACCCACCTCAGCCTCCCAAAAAGCTGGGATTATAGGCATGAGCCACCGTGCCTGGCCTTCTATTGCATTTTTAAATTTTCATTCCTTGTATTCTTCAGCTTCAATATTTCTGTTTGGCTCTTTTTATGATTTCTAACCTAACTCTCTGTTAAACTTCCATTTTAATCATGTATTTTTTTCCTGATTTTGTTAAGTTGTCTGTTTGTTCTCTGTTTCCTGGGCTCTCTTAAAACAATTATTTTGAATTCCTTGTAAAGAAATTCATAGATTTCTGTTTCTTTGAGGTTGGTTACTGGAAAATTATTGTGTTCCTTTGGTGGTTTCAGTTTTCTTGTGTGTGTGTGTGTGTGTGTGTGTGTGTTCCTGTTGCCTTGCATTGATATCTCCATATTCAATGGAGCAGACAACTTTTCCAGATTTTACGGACTGGATAAGTAGGGAAACATCCCCAAAATGGGTGGATGTAAGGTCATCGAATGGGTGGTGTCCAGCAGTTCCAGTTCCAGGGAGGGCACAGTGGCATAGTTTTTATGCAGTTCTGTTACCTGAGGCAGTGTTGGCAAATATTGCAGGAGTATTCGGCTGCCAAGGCTGTGGGTGTCTGCAGTGGCCACAGGGGATGTTTGGGTTTCTAGTGGTGAAGACTGCTGAGATTCTCCTGATCTCTCTTGGCACTGGTTCAGGTTCACAGGTACTTTCATGATGGCACATGAAACAGTCACACAGCTGGAACCTGGATCATAAGCACATGTATAGTGACAGTGGCTCTGGGATTCAATGTGCAAGATAGCCTGTCACTGTGGTGGCTCCAGTGTCTGAGTCACACTTGCTTATGGAGCAGCAGTGGAGCTGGGGTCCGGAGCACAGGTGTATGCAGAACAACCATGGTCCTGGGCTCATGGCAGGTTTATCCTGCAGTGACAATAACTCCAGTGTCTGATGCATGGGTATGCACAGTTTGATCACAAAGCAAGGGTCTAGAGTGCAAACATGCAAGGAGCAGCCACAGATTTGGGGTCCATGGCACATGTGGATTGGGTGGCCTGGTGGTTCCAATCCCAGGGTGATACAACAGTGCCTCTTTCTAGGGGTAGGAGACAGAGCATAGCAGCATCTCCTTCTCCAGAGCATCTGCAGTCCATGACTTTTTATTACATCAGTGGTGAATGCTACCTGTGTCCTCTGCAGGCCATCAGAGACCATGGTGGCACTCACCATGTGGCTGAGACTAATATCCTCAATGCTGCTTCTTTGTTGCTAGCTATCTCCAGATGTCTCAGGCACTCAAATCTCTCAAACCATCTTTTCTGTGCAGATATTCTCCTTTTTTTTTTTCTTCACCGTGTTACTGCAGGTTCTTAATCGGACCCATGAGCCACCGCGAGGCTATTTTCATTGATAGATAGCTATCTAATTGTAGATTTTTGTGGGAGAGGAAAGACTGATATTTTCTATTCTGCCACCTTGCCGATGACATGATGGTCAACAAGAGCGCTGAGACAATTCAAAGGGGAAAGATAATGTTTTCAGTAAATGGCATGTGGGCAACTGCATATATACATGTAAAATAATTACAGAGGGCCCTTTCCTTACTCCATAACCAAAATTTAACTAAAAATGCATCACAGATCCAAATGTAATAGTTAAAACCATAAAACTCTTAGAAGAAAATATAGTCATAAATTGTGACCTTAGTAACAACAAAGACCTCTTAGATATGATACCAAAAGCATAAGTGGCAGAAGAAAAAAAAAGCTAGACACATTGGACTTTATCAAATTTAAAAATTATTGTACTGTAAACAATGCCATCAAGAAAGCAAAGATACAACCTACAAAATGTAAGAAAATATTTGTAAATTAAAAAATCATATATCTGAGAAGGCATTTGTGTCCAGAATATATAAAGGACCCTTACAACTCAATAAAATAACAAGATAAGTAAACCAATTAAAAAATAGGCCAAAGACTTTATATGCATTTCTCCCCAGAAGATACTGGTATTTTCTGAAAAAGATAACTGTACCCTTACCATATGACGTAGAAATTTTATTCCTGGATATCAGCTCAAGAGAATTGAAGACATATGCTTACACAAAAATGTAGACATGAATGTTCATAGCAATTTTATTTATAATAGACAAAAGCTGGAAGTAAGCCAAAGGCCCATCAACTGCTGAATGGATAAACAAAATGTGTTAATTTATAAAAAGAAACACCAGTTAACTGTAAAAAGGGATTAAATATTGATACATGTAACAATGTGGATGAACCTAGAACCATTATGGAACATGAAAAAACAGGCACAAAAGGCTAAATATTGTATGATTCCATCTGTATAGAATTTCTAGAAAAGACAAAATAAAAGAAATAGAAAGTATACCTACCTGGCACTAAGATAGAAATGGTGATTGACTGCAAACAAGCATAAGGGAACTTTTTGGGTGATAGAAGTGTTCTAAAACTAAATTTTGAGGATGGTTGCACAGGTCTGCTAACTTACTAAATAATATTGAACTACACATTTTTATAGATTAATTTTATGATATGTAAATTACATCTCAGTGAACCTGACAAATTAGATTTATAATTAAAAACTTCATTGATTAAAAGACATATTAAGACACACAAACTGCTAACCACAGAATCTGTGATGATATGTACATTAAAGACTATATAATTAAAATATGTTTGTATATTTTAAGAGACTACTAAAAGAATAAGTGATTTACTTATTTTTTATTTATATTTTTATTTATTTATTTATTTGACAGACTGTTGCTCTTGTGCCCAGGCTGGAGTGCAATGGCACGATTTCAGCTCACTGAGATCGCCTCCCAGATTCAAGCGATTCTCGTGCCTCAGCCTCCTGAGTAGCGGAGATCGCCTCCACCGCGCAGGTTCAAGTGATTCTCGTGCCTCAGCCTCCTGAGTAGCTGGGATTACAGGCATGCACCACCACACCCAGCTAATTTTTTATTTTTAGTATAGATGGGGTTTCTCCATGTTGGTCAGGCTGACCAACAGATGAGGTCGAACACCTGACCTCAGATGATCTACCCACCTTGGCCTTCCAAAGTGCTGGGATTACAGGCTTGAACCACCACGGTCAGCCAAGAATAAGTGATTTTTAATTAGATCAAAGCTCATGAATTCTCAAAGGAGGATGTCTAAATAGCCAATAAATATATAAAAACAATTTGTTAGTAATCAAGAAATTACAGATAAAATTACATTGCCATACCATTACACACCCATCACAATGGTTAAAATGAAAAAGACAGTCAATACCAACCACAGGAAAGGATGTGAAAAATAGAAACTCTTGAATATGTGAATGCAAATTGGTAAAGTCAATTTGCAAAAAAAAACTGTTTTGGATCATCTAATAAGCTAAATAGTAATACCTCATGATGCAGCATTTCTATTTCTAAGTGGTAGAAATGCCTATGTAGGTTCACCAAAGATATGTATAAGAATGCTTACAGGAGTGCTATTATAAATGGTCCCAAACTAGTAATACAAATATACGGATAATATATTTTGTTACATTCATACTATACAATGATGAAAATTAATGAATTATTTCTTTATGCAATATGGATAAAATACAAAAATTATAAATATAAATGACAAAATCTAGAGCTTTGACTACATTTAAAGCTTAGCAAGACTAAGCTATGTATTAGAAGTCAAGATATTTGTCATATTTGGGGAGGAGGAGTTGTGTAGTAACCTGCTGGAGGCATGAGAAGAGCTTCTGCGATGCTAATAATATTCATTTCATAATCTGCCTGGTATTTATCTGGGTGTGTGTATTTTGTAATAGTTAATCAAGATATAAAATTATGATTTCTACATATATTTGTATATATGCCATTTTTTAATAAAGAAGTCTATTTGGGAACAAAATGGATAATGGCTTACCCAAGCCAAACAGCAACAGTGGAAAAGCTTCCATAGACTCTCCTATCTTCTAACACATGTTGCATTGTCTTACCATGCCACTGTATTGTCCATTGCTACTCTTAATAGAGTCAAATTAGATACCTTTTACAATGTGAGTTTATAATAAAAATAATCATGTTATTTTCAGCATATCTTGGTAACACATTATAGTGCTCAGTTTAGCTTATTTTTCTTGACTCATCTTAGAATGCTTGTCGACTCATAACCTACAGAGAAATATCTAAATCTAACAATTAACTTCAAATCATGATGCAGAACTATGTATAAAGTAAATTCCATTTAGTATTTACCCCTGAGATTATGTCATCCAGTCTATTCCTGAGATTTTACCATTAATTTTAGTTCTGAAGTACTTGGTTTTTATCCACTGACAGCAACATGAACAAAATTCTGCCTTATTATTTTCTTTCAATAATTAAAACTTCATAAAAACTTGCTACATTATGTGAGAGGTCAATATCATTATTTTTACTATGAAAAATATAAAATTAAATTATTACTGTCCAACTTGGGCCTTCTCATAACTTTCAGATTGCCTATATATCCTGCCTGCTGTAACTATCAGAGCCACAGTTATTTTAGTTCCTCCAGTTAAAGCAACATAAGGATATATCGCAATTATGATTCTTTCACATAATTAACCTGAGATATTATCTATTTTGACACTTAGAAATACTCTAGCTTTGTCCTACATTGATTTTACATTACAGATTACCCATTCTGTCTCTGTAAGTCTTTGTCAAACTAATAAAATTATGACCTAAAACTATAGGCCATACTATTTTACAAGATTGTCTTATCATAAAGGAATTACTTTATGAGAAGAGAAATTAATGGAGTAGCAAATCTACTTAGTCATTTTTGCACATAAATTTAAGTAACTCGTGGAAAATACTTTCCACCAAAGGAGAACACTTAAGTTGAATCCAAGCCAATATGATGCTAGCAGTTTCTCCTACCCCTCCATTGCATTCACTCCTTTTCATGTCAGGTCTGCGAGCCTGTTGAGAGCACCATATGTGTTTTATCTTTGTAACCTCGACACCCAACAAAGTGTATGGTACATAAAAAGTGCTTAATAAGTATTTGTTGGACAAATGTCAATTGTTCTTCCAGAATACATCTTTCCCTCTGGAAATCTGTAAGCATTTTTAGCTCCCCACAACTTAGCACATTTACCAATACCTAGAGGGAAGACTAATGAAAAACAGACTTACGGTCTAATAGTTACTTGATTACCAAGTGAGAAAGACTCAAAACTCAGAACTCTTCCATGTTACAGTAACTTCAGAGTCAGCCAGATCAAGTCTTCAGAGACTTAACTGCAGATACTGGAGAAAGACTGGACCCTAATACCTAAGGAACAGTAAAATCCCAAGTCTAAATATTGTCCTTTTCTTCCCTACAGTGCAAAGTTTTGAATTTTCTGAATTCAACTTTCTCTGATACTCTAGTCTTTAAAAGCAAAGTGGTCAATGATGACACAAATAAACTTATTAAGGATAAATTCAAAGAAATATCTTAGTGCAGATGTCCTGGGCACAGAAAGCATTCACCTCTCTGTCCAAGATTTGGTCCTTCTATAGTTTGTACAATGAAGGTGGACTTAGAAAATAATAACCTAGAAGCTGGAAAAGGCCGACTGCCAGCACTAACATGCAAATGTGCAATGCTGATTTTAAATGTCACTTAATATGATATAAACTACAATAATTTTAACTCCAATTCTCCATGCCATCAGGCTGGTAGGAAATTTCTTCTCAGCTTGACCCTAGTATGTGGTATATTTATGGAATGTCCAGAAAACAAGGAAGGGACTTATTCTCTCCGACTTATTATGGTGTGATTTAACATCTTGGTGGCCCAAGCCACGTTTCTGCTTTTGGTCCTGCAACTCTCTGACTGTGCCAGGTGCCAGAAGTGAGTAGTCAGGCCTCATTGCTGAGGTTGACAGCTCCAGTACCTAAGACACTAGCACACATCACAGGCACCGTATTTCTCACCTTCTCCTCAGTGTTCTGTTGTGAAGGGCTCAAGTCTCCGTTGCTCATGGGACCCATTGAACTCTTTCCATTCTAAAGAATTGCACTTCTCTTTCTTCTTACCCTTGAAAGACTTTGTTTCCCTATATAATTGAGATGTCCAGTATTGTGTCTTCCATTTAAAACTTTTCCAAAAGACAGGAAGAATAATTGATTTCAGGATATTTCCACTTTTGCTCTACAATAATACCCTTAGACTCAGGGGAGGACAGGGAATATACAAAAATATTTTAATTCAAAGTAATATTTCTATAAAATATTCTGCTACCCCAATATTCCACTGAGTGTTTAGATAATATAAGGAACAGTCAGATTTTATCATTCAAGTTTATGATATCTCATTTAGTTCGTTGTGATAGAATAATATTTGTTCTGAATAGTTTGGGATTCACTTCTGTAATTTAGATTTAGTATCCTGGTAGCATACTATTGTTTGTGAATTCATACTGAAAGTTCTGTAATGTTGTTTACATACGTAAATAAAATAGGTGAAGCAAGCAATAAAAAAAGCCAATTGTTTCTGTGCACTTACTATGTCCATGCAGTATTTTAAGCTCTATGTGGATCTCTTCTTGATGGTAGAAATAATGAGAGAATAACTAAAATGTTTTTAGTCATCTCAGAAGAAAATGAATCAAAGTTTACCTGATATTTTGTCATGTTCTGTACTTTCAATGCAAATATTTATTTTCAGTTTGATGAACTTGGACTATTCTAGTCTGGGGGAAAAGGAGAAGAAGAGGGGAAAGAACTATGGAAACTAACAAGGATGCAGGGGTTACCTAGATCCTTTGGGGAAAAGGAACCCTATAGAAAATAACAATTATTTCTCCTAATTTGTTTGCTCAAACCCACTTTGCGTATGTGCTAGTTCTTCCTCTGCACGTTTTGGAGAAGTTCTTTCTGTTCTTTTCTCATCACCCTTAGTTCATTAATATTTCACCAAACATTTTCTACACAAAAAGAGTCTTAATTTGGAACCGGAAATACCCAGCCCAGTGTCAGAATTATATGACTCCCTCTTCTTATTCTATTTAAAATTTCTTTGGCAGGGCACAGTGGCTTACACCTGTAATCTCAGCATTTTGGGAGGCCAAGGCAAGAGAATCACTCAAAGCCAGGAGTTTGAGACCAACCTGGGAAGCAAAGAAAGTCCTGTTTCTACAAAAATTAAAAATTAAAAAAAATAGCCAAGCATGTTGGCATGCACCTGTTGTCCCAGTTACTCAAGAGCCTGGGTGGGAAGATTGCTTGAAGCCAGGAGTTCAAGGTTACAGTGAGCTATGATCATGCCACTGCACTCCAGCATGGGTGACAGAGTGAGACCTTGTCACCAAAATCAATTAATTTAATAATTTAATTAAATTCTTCCCAGCCCTGCAGTGAAGAGGGGAGACCCTTGATGTGCTTGCCTTCCAGCTCTCCCTGCATCTCCTTGTCCTCTCGGGCAGTAGTTTCAGATCCTTCACGGTAGAGGAAATGGTATTGGAGGAAGGGCACACCTCCCCTCAACAACAGTGATGTATTGGGTATTTACAGCTAGTTCTTTCTCTCAAGGGTATGTGGAGAGCTCTTGTTAGCTTTGCACAGATGGGCCTACTGGAGATCTTTAACTTTCTTTCCTTCATGCATTCACTGTCCCAGTGTAGCTGGTTACTTCTAATTCCTCCCTTAGTCCCTGCAGAGCCAGTGGTCCTCTCCCTCTCTGGGGACTATTTGCTCCATTGGGCAATTCTCTAAAGGATCAAAGATGGCCTAGACTAGCTCCCTCTTGGGGAAACAATCCATTCTCTGTACTAAACTTCATCCTCTGATATAGAATGCTTCTTCTGGACACTCCTCTAGAGGCAAATTTTTGGTACCTGTACCTCAAAAACTCAAAGGAACATAGATCAATTATTCTGAGTGTTTCTCTTGAAGTTCCCTAAATGCTCTCCCTTCCTGTATGGGCAAGGAAGAGGGTGTCAATCACATGCAGCATATTAACAAATCTCTCCCCAAAAGCCTTTAAACTGAAACAAGTCTCCTTGCTCAACCTCTGCAGCCTTAACAGGTAGATTTTAATATCTGAATCTATCTTTAGTTAGGTATTAAGATCTCAAAATTGAGGTCTCAAATTAGAGGACTTCCTTGGCCAGCTGAGTTATCACCTTTGCTTTGTATAACTGTCTGTCTTTGGGACCTTCAGCCTAAAATGAAATAGAAAGAGTCTCATTTTGCCATCCTATTTCACATTGATGTAGCACCTAATTATCCTTCATGCAGCAAGTCAGCAAACACAACATACTCCTCCCTGCCTCACACCATTACTTACGCAGGATGAAAACAAGTTTTTCAGAGTTGCTACCACCCACATTCCAATTAACTCTTTTGCAGGGCCAATTTACTTCTCCACGATACTGGACCCAATTAAGACTCCACAATAGATGGCTTAGATACCTCTGGGGGTGATGAAAACATGAGGAGGAAGCCAAGTTAGAATGGATGTAAACCCATTCAAGAGTGGATGTAAATGAAATCAGCTGGTAGCTATCCAATTTACATATTTAGCATCCAGCTTGTGCTTGGCATATAGTAGACACTCACAAAATTGTAGTTTTCATTTCTTTCCTACTGAACCTCACTTTTCAATTAAAGAGGACAATACCAAAAATTTTCTTATTTTTCCCCAGACCAACAATCATTCTGAGGAGGAAAATCACATGAGACAATGTACGTGATTTCACAAAAGCATTGCATTATCTCTTTTGTCTGTGCATGCTTGCCACCCAGAAATATGCTATGAAACTAATTATTTGATGGAATGAATTAAAAACTGACTTTGAAAATGGGACTAAAATTATATCTACATCAAGCCTGGGAGGAATGCATAGAAGATAATAGTTTCATTTAACACAAGAAAAATAAGAACAAAGTAGTTGTGGGCCTTACCCAAAGTTGCACAACCCAGAGGCAGAGGGGTTAGTAGGTTCTACCAAGGTCTCCTCATTTCAACACTAGATACAACAATGAGGGAGGCATGATGAGAATTTCTAGTCCCCAGGTTTAAAAGAAAAGTCAGGAGTTAGAGTTGAAGCCCTGGTGATCACTCTCATTCTTCATAGACACAGCTATCCATTAAAACAACTACGAACATAACTCATCACTGAGGGAGACTGTAAAATCTGTCCTCATCAAAGAAAGAAACAGAAGATTGCCAGGGATTTGTACATAATTCAGGATATAGCGCAACATTTTTCAGGCCTCTTAGGCAATGCCATTTTACTTATAAACAGTTTGGAGAAGGAATATTTATAGCCCTTCGACCTCTCCCACTGGCCCTGAAAGAAATTGAATTTCCAACCAAATGCATTTACAAGGAGAGAGCTATTCATTCTAATAAAACCACATGGTAAGTACATTAAGTAAGGAAAAAAATCTTTTGATGAACGGAAATATTATACCCACAGGAGGGGCAGCAGCCTCAGTGAAAGTTAAGTTTGGCTGTGTCTGATCTCATGTTCCTCAATTTTCCCAGCTCTTAAAGCATGACAATACTACAATTAAGCTGCTTTAGGATGACACAAGTTCAACTAGCCAGTGGGCCCAACTTTAGCCTTTATATTTGGATTGTGAGGTGACTTATGAAGAAGAAAATTTCCACAGACTCTTTAAGAGGAACATCAACTTCCTTTTTTTAACCTGAAAGTTTATTTTATTTATTTATTTTAATTTTTAACTTTTAGCTTTTGTGGGTACATGGTAGCGGTATATATTTATGGAGTACATGAGATATTTTGATACAGGCATACATTGCATAATAAGCAAATCAGGGTAAGTGGGGTATCCATCACCTCAAGCATGTATCCTTTCTTTTTGTCACAAACAATCCAATTAAAATCTTTAGTTATTTTCATATATATAATAAATTCTTGTTGATTGTAATCACCCTGTTGTAGTATCAAACACTAGATCCTATTCATTCAATCTAACTTTATTTTGTACCCATTAACTATCTCCACTCCCCTCCCCAACCCTCCACTCTCATGGCCTTTCTCAGCTTCTGGTAACCATCATTCTACCTTCTACCTTCATGAGTTCAATTGTTTTAATTTTTAGCTCCCATAAATAAGTGCGAACATGTGAAGTTTGTCTTTCTGTGCCTGGCTTATTTCACTTAACATAATGACCTCCAGTTCTATCCAAGAATACCAAATTCAAAACTACATTTAAATGTACTACATGTATAGCTCTAGCACCAGAATTAAAACAATGCATATGCCAAAAGGTAGGTAATATAATATTTACCTTCGAGAAAGTTTATCTATTTGGAGTGAAAAGACCATTGCATGTAGTATAGAACATTACAAAACCAAATACAATTGGATGTTAAAACAGACTATAAACTATTAATTTCACCAAGTTCAGATGAATTCCTCTGTGGCATGGCAGTGAGGCTGGTGAGAAAAATGTGAGTTCAAATCTTTGAAGAAAATACAGAATGAACTTGGAAATTGAGAAGGAATGAGGAAGACAAAGGTACTAATGATTGCATCCTTGCTCCTGAAGTAAAAGAGTTAGTGAATTTTGGTGACATTTACTGAGATGTGGAACACAGAATGAGAATTGAGAGAAAATATGATGGGTCAATTTAAATGTAGTTTAACATAGAACATCCAAAAAAGAAAAGTCCAGCAGCAATCTAGTTACACATATGGAGTCCAGTAGGGATATACGTGCTAGACAAAAAAAAAAAAAAAAAAAAAAAAAAAAAAAAAACTCACAGTTGCTAGGGAATTCGGATTAGCCCTGAGATCATAACTGTTTGCTTTCCTTCCAGATTATATCAGTTAATAATTCCTTGTGATTGTGCCAAACTCTAAGCTTGCTTTTAAAGAGAGATGTATTATATTTAACAATGCATACAACAAATATGGCAATAATTCAAATATGTGATTGCTTTAGGAAAGACAGTCCCAATCTAAACGTGGTTGTCAGATCAGAGTTACACCTGTAACTGACTCCTCAGATTTATTTTGTTACTGCTGGGAACATTTCTGGAATACAGTCCCTGAAAAGAATCAGAACTAGACTTCTACAGGCCAGGTAACAGAAAACCTGATTTCCCCACCCTGGTAAAGCCAAAAAAAAAATATTCTGCAAGATCCAGTTTATTGTGTCTGCCGAATTGGGAGTTGGTATGCTCTGGAACTACGGTCACTCCTTCCAATACTAGTCAGTGGGAGAGATAGTTCTGCTAGGTGAGCCACAGACAGCTTCAAAGCCAGAGAAATCTGGGTTTGGTAACTATCATAATGTTGACCGAGAAATAATGAAAAACGAATAGAAATAAAATTAAAGAGAGATGGGCTACACACACACGCAGAGAGAGAGAGAGAGAGAGAGAGAGAGAGATTTCAGCCCTCAGTGACTATGTCATAAATAGGCATGGAAAGTTCCAGCTAAGCATGGAGAAGATGAGATGAAATTATACATCAGGCAGAAGATGGGACTATGAAAGTACATGACAAGAAGAAGTAGTTGTTTCTTTATCTTACACAAAAGTTCCCTCATTTTGCTATGTGCCAGAAACCAAAATCAATTTCCTTTCTTTCTTATCAGCAAAATAAAAAGGCAAGTCTAAATATGTTCTGATGAGAATTAGAGAGAAAATTCCAGTTCTTCTCAACAAACATAAGCAGTTGATGAACTCGCCAGCAGAATGAGTAGAGGAAAACAATAAGCATCCTGAGAAACATCAACATATAGGAAATGGGTAGAGAACAAGATGCCTGCATAAGTATTCCAGAGAAGATAACAGAACTTAACTAAAATTAGCATTATAAACTGCTGGGAAATGAGAAGCCTTAGGGGACCTGAGTTTAATGATGGATGAGAGTGCTGTATGATTAAATTATTATTGGTATATAATTAATGCAACAAGACTGAAATTCAGTGTGTAATAAAGAAAAGGATGCACTAGGAGGATTGAGTGTGCAGAGAAGGACCCCACAAGGATAAGAGGGATCACCCTGATCTCAACAGGAACAGGTTACAGGAAAGAAGAGAAGCAGAAGTTTCTTTCCTTCTGGAGATAGCAGAGAAAAGTTTTTGACTTGGTTGCTTGGATATAAAGAAAGTTTCAGGTCAGGCGTGCTGGCTCACGCTTGTAATCCCAACACTTTGGAAGGCTGAAGTGGGAGGATTGCTTAAACCCAAGAGTTCGAGACCCGCCTGGCCAATATGGCAAAACTTTGTCTCTAGGTAAAAAAAAAAAAAATTTAAAAATTAGCCAGGCATGGTGGCACGTGCCTATAATCCCAGCTACTCGGGAGGCTGAGGCAGGAGGGTTGCTTGAACCCGGAAGGCCTTGAGCCCAGGAGGCAGAAGTTGCAGTGAGCTGAGATCATGTTACTGAACTCCAATCTGGGTGACAGCAGAGCTAGACTGTGGAAAGAAAGAAAAAAAAAGAAAGAAAAAGAGGAGGGGGTGATGAGGAGAGGGAGGGAAAGAAAGGAAGAAAGAAAAAGAGGAGGGGGTGGTGAGGAGAGGGAGGGAAAGAAAGAAAAAAAGAAAGGAAGGAAGTAAGGAAGGAAGGAAGGGAGAAGCAACTGGGAAGTTAGTTTCTAATCCAATGAATCTGGGAGATGGTCAGTGCCAAGGAAGATGGGAGATATCTGGGCTGACATGATGGATCTGAGAGACAATACTCAACCACAGTCACAACCAAGGCTCATGAAGATGGACCGTGGTGGGAGCTGTGCTGGAAGTAAGGATGGAACTCTAGTCCTCTCCCAATGGAGAGATGAGGAGGCCATTAGGTCAAGGCAGAATGTTCAGCTGTGGATCAATGTGTGCTCTCATGAGGTTTTTACAAGAGGATTAAGCAACATAAGCCTGTATTCTGGGAAAGGGTATGGAATCATTGAATTTGGATACCCATTTTGGTTCCCACTTGGTAATATCATGAAGACTAGAAAAATAAAGAAACAGATAAACTGATCTTGTGGGCAAGGATGGTATTCAAAACATTTCATAGCCAGTAAGTCATGGGCCCCAACCAATCATCAGGGGTCAATCAGAATGCACATAAGCTATAAGTTACTCTTATAGCTATCCCAGTGGGTAACAGCAGAATTTCTATCCTGCCTGTGAGTGAGATTTGCTCTTTGAGGTCATCATCCCTGGATGAAGCTGCTGGTAAGCTTCCAGCTTGCTTTAAAAAGGCATCTGTTTCTAAGCAGGCTGAATAATCCATGCTGCCATATTATTTACTCTACTAAAATCATTTGTAAATTTTACATTAATAAGATGGTACAACAGTAAAATTCTTACCAGCTTGATGACAACAAACATACATCCAAGTCCTGACAAATATGTCTTTGAAACGTCCTTTTTTTTTTTTCACTTGCATTGACTTTACCACTGGTATGTACCCTTCTGGACTTTTCTGCCCATATTCTACTGACTTTTCTAACTATATTTCTCATCTATTTAATCCATCCTTCACATTGCCACCAGAAACAGTGCTAAAATTATTTACTATCTGCAAAAAAATAACAACTACTTCCCTCTAAAAAAAAAAGATACACATTTCTCCCTGTGGTACTCAAAACTTTTAAAAAAATCCTAATCTTCCTTTATGTCTGCATCCTTTATTACTACTCCGTTCTCCATCACTCTCACCACTCTATCACTTTTCCTAATTTAAGGGCTGGATAAATCCTGGGTCTCCATAGATTACTTCACTTCTATGGCCATGTCATCTCGATGTCAGCTTGTGTCTCCCTGCCCTTAGATACTGTAGAAGATTAATTATAGTTCTCAATTATTAAACTGCTGCATTTTGTAAGAGGATCATATCTTTCTGCCACACTGACATCAGGCTCAGCTGTGTGACTCATTTGGCCAATAAAATGTGAGCAGAACTTTATTAGTCCATTCTCACACTGCTATGAAGAAATACCTGAGACTGGGTAATTTATTAAGAAAAGAGGTTTAGTTGGCTGACAGTTCCGCAGGCTGCACAGGAAGCATAGTGGCTTCTGCTCAGCGTCTGGGGAGGCCTCAGCAAACTTACAATCGCGGCAGAAGGCAACAGGGAAGCAGGCATGTTTTACATGGCTGGAGCAAGAGCAAAAGAGAGAGAAGGGAGGTGCTGCACACTTTTAAACAACCAAATCTCTTGAGAACTCACTATTCAGTACCAAGAGGGGATGGTGCTAAACCATTCATGAGAATTACACCTTTGTGATCCAATCACCTCCCACTAGAGAGGTGTTGTGTTGAAGGCGTTACACCTCCAACATTGGGGATTACAATTTGACATGATATTTGGGTGGGGACACAGAGCCAAACCATATCAAGAAGTAATATTGCTTTGCAGAAGATTTAAAGGCTCCTAACACCACTCTTTTCCTCTTACCATGAGAACAGCATGTCCCAACCAGCAGCTGCTTCCACAGCATAGATTAATAGAATGAAGCTGTGTGGTCAGAGCTGCAGCTGACCCACACCCAGCATGAAGCCTGAGCTACATTCTTTCTTTTTTCATTTTTTTTTTTTTTTTGAGACAGTGTCTCACTCTGTCACCCAGACTGGAGTGCAGCGGTGCAATCTCGTCTGACCGCAACCTCTGCCTCCCAGGCTCAAGCAATTATCCTGCCTCAGCCTCTTGAGTAGCTGGGATTATAGGTGCATGCCACGACCGCCCAGATAATTTTTTAATAGAGACGGGGTTTCACCATGTTGGCCAGGCTGGTCTCAAACTCCTGACCTCAAATGATCCACCCGCCTCGGCCTCCCAAAATGCTGAGATTTCAGGTGTGAACCATCACACCTGGCCTACATTACTTCTGCATATTACTTATCCAAGGCTGATCGATGCAAAAATCTGGTTAAATAAGTCCCAAATACCAAGTACTGCAGTACTCAGTCCTCCCTGAGGTGCCATGATTCACTTCCTTTTACAAACTCTCTCTACTTTCACTTCATTGGTGCTACCTGGGTTCTGTTCCTTAAAAAACTTAGACCCAAAGCAAAACTCCTTTACTTACAATTCTGTGTAAGAAATCTAATCATACTTTTTGTTAGTAGTTCCTGAGTTTGGTAATATTTAAGAAAACTTGAATGCCTGAGAGACTGGATCACATCTCACAGCACACAGTCTTTTAACACTCAGTTCCAGCTCCTCATATTCCACCTTCTTCCAAAACCTCACAGCAACTCCTGACCCTCTCCACCTACCACACATGCTCTCCTGGAAAGGTAGGTCAGCACCCAGCACCTGTTGTGTCCATGTGTGTCTTGGAACAGTTCCATCAGGGCAGCCTGTTTTCCCTAGACCTACTGTTACAATTTATTTAAACCAAAATTTCATTTCTATGAAATTATATTTTAATACTATTACAACTAATGTTCAACCTCAGAAGATTATATCTAGCATGCTATCAGACTTTTAAATTGCAAAAGCACTTTCATGTCCATTATCTCATGGTATCACCTCTGTTTTGCCTTCAATCTCTATGAAGACAAGTGCCATGGCTCATAGATATCACTGAGCATGCAGCTCTTAGCACAGTGTCTGACATATGATGGACACTCAGTCAGCGTCTGTGGGTGAATAATGAATGAATAAATGAACATAGCTTTTAAGTAACAAGCCAAGGATCATATATCTTATAAGGAACAGAATTCCAGTTCATGTCTCGGATTCCAGTCTCTATGACCTTGCTCCACTCCTCCTGGGTCTCAGACTCTTTTGCTATGGATATGTGTAAAAAGAGGTCGATGAACACAGTCTGATGGTTTTAAAGAGAGGGTCAAAGTGCTAGACAGGTATTGGGCTAAAAAATATGAAAGTGTCTTCCAATCTAGAATTTTAGTAAGAAAACTAACAGTACTCAGAGACTTGCTATTAGTATCTATGAAATGAAATTCCTCCTTTAGAAAATTTTGTTTACATCACTGAAACTGTGGATGCAGATCATATAGATTCAGAAAACCTTGATCTTTCAAAAGGACAATGTAGACTGAGATGTCAAAGTCATAAATTCTGCCAGCAAACGCTGCCTTCCCCACTCTGCAATGATAGAAGACAAGTTGTTTTTGTCTGCTAAATAATTCATCCACTTCAGTGTGTACAAGTTTACAAACACAAGAGGATTTACACCTTTATAACCACACTAAACGCTCCATTTTAAAAGCCTGGTGTCAGTTTTTATAAATGCATAGGTTCATTATTCCCTGGTTGCTGTTGTCAAAGTGAAGAGAATCATTATTCTCCCCTAGAAACATCACACAGAGTCAGACAACTTTATGAAAGTTTTGGCTCAACTGCTTATTCATTGTGTGACCTGGGGCAAGGCATATACGTTTCAGGTTTGTGATCTCTAAAGTAGGGTTAATAATAAACATAAGTGAATAGTGAGGATCAAGTGAGATAAGATAATAGCTTTCAAACCACATTTTAGGAAGACTCTTGGGTGAAGAGAGAGGTCAAGCAAGAGAGGGTACAGCCCCTGCCCCACCCTCCACTGCTTTGTCTAGAGAAAGTCAGCCTTCAAATTTGCAGATCTTAGCTTCGGGCCTTCGAATTCCCAGCTCAATTACCTGGCCACCACACCAGTGTGCACACTCCCTTACAATTGTCCAATGCTGTAGAGTGCACAGAGCACATTTATATACATTATTGTACAGCTAATCCTTACCATGATACAGGAAAATTACCTTTCCCACTTGGGAGCTGAAAGACTGAAGTCCTAAAAGATTAAGTGGCTAAGGGTGGTTCCCAAGATAGGTCAGCAGCAGCAGCCCCCAACCAGATAGTTGTGCTTTTCCTGAAACTCTGGGAAACCCATACATTCCTGTTTTCTATAATACACAAGATACCACCTTTAATTTGAAAACTGTTTGCCTTTTCAGGTGACCTGTGTTCTCACAATAAACAAGGCACTTTCTCATTTTTCTTAAAAGAATGAAACTTCTGGCTTATCTTAAGAAGAAGGTGAAAGCATCCATTCAATATCTGATAGGATTTATAGCACAGCCCCAGTTTCTATTTCTAAGGCCATAATAAACACATTGTCCTCAGACCACAAGGATAGTTATCCCAGCCCTGGCACAGCATATTGGGATAGACTGTTGTCTCTAGAGGGAAACAACAAATGTATCAGCATAAGTGTCACCTAATTTTCCTGCTAATGATACTAACTTTCTTCCCATTTGAGAGGGGCAGCTATCTGAAATTTTTTGTTGTTGTTGATAACATTCTCTCTCCATCTCCGTCTTAATTCTGAATGTCTGTCCCTGGGGTATATTAAAACATTTCATATTCTCACTGAATTAATTTATTCATCTATTAAGCAAGCAATAAGCATTTACCCTATGTTGTCTTTGGAGGTAGGCATTGTTAATACCAAATATATAAGAAGCAATTACTGCCATCAAGATGTTGGCAGTCCTGCTGGGGAGAACTGACTTGTATAAATACAGAGCAGAAAGAGATAAGCACATGTGAGAGGTATAAAGAGCTCTGGGAATTCAGATAGGAAAAAAACTGCTTGTGACGTGAGTTATCAGAAGCAGTTTCTAGGGTAAGAAGGGACTGATGCTGCAAGTGAATTAGTAGGTGGGATCTCACCAGGGGAAAATAAGGAAGAGCCTTGATATGGTTTGAATCTGCATTCCCACCCCCCCACCAAATGTCATGTTTAAATGTAATTCCCAGTGCTAAAGGTGCGGCCTAGCAGGCGGTGTGGCCTAGCAGGAGGTGATTGGATCACAGGGGCGGTTTCTAATGGTTTAGCACCATCTCCCTAGTGCTGTTCTAGTGACAGAGTTCTCAGGAGATCTAGTTGTTTAAAAGTGTGTAGAACCTCCCCCATCTCTTTCTCTTTCTCTTGCTCCTGCTCCCAGCCATGTGAAGTGCTGGCTCCTCTTTCACCTTCTGCCGTAATTGTAAGTTTCCTAAGGCCTCCCCAGAAGCCAAGCAGAGGCAGATGCTGCCATGCTTCCTGTACAGCTTGCAGAACCATGAGCCAATGGTTCATGTAGCCATGAGCCAATGGTTTCTGTGTAAATTACCCAGTCTCAGATATTTCTTTATAGCAATGTGAGAACAGACTAATACAAAGCTGTTCGTGATGGAAAGAATGACAAAGTCAAAGGGAGAGTCTGAGAAGCTTGGAGGAAGCACAGTGCAACAGCAAAAATATCAGTAGGTAGAGTCAGGAAGTCTGGAGTTTCTACTTTAGTTCCAACTGCTTACTTGAACAAGTTATTTAATCTCCCTGTATCTCAGTTCAATCATTTCTAAAATAGAAAATAAAATAGGTATCCTGTTATAAAAATAATGTCTGGTTATTAATTTATATACATTAACTGACATAATTGGCTTGAAAAAGTTGAGTTGACAGGAGTGAGTTAATAATTAGCGGTGCTTTTAAAGGCCGCTTGGAAACTTAAGTTGGACGCTAAAGCCAACTTTTACAAAAGAGAAGAAGATAACACAAAATAACATAAAAGGTGACCCAAGTGGACATCAATATAATGAATTAAATGAGAAGTCAAAACCTCAAAGGCTCTTATTTACCTCATATTATTTATTTCATGGCTCTTATAGTCTATTAGAGAAAATGAAATTATATTATCTCTTTTAAGATGTGTGATTCACGTTCCTATATGAAAAGGAAGCAGTGCTTTTACCTCCAAGAGGAAAATCTAGTTATAAGAACTAGGATTAAAAACAAAGAAAAGGCTTTCCTAAAGCAGACACACACATGGCCAAGAAGCAAGTGAAAAAAGTGCTCAACATCACTAATCATTAGAGAAATGCAAGTCAAAACCACAATCAGATACCATCTCATACGAGTCAGAAAGGCTATTATAAAAAAGTCAAAAAATAACAGATGCTGGCGAGATTGTGGAGAAAAGGGAACTGGAACACTTATACATTGCTGGTGGGAATGTAAATGAATTTAGCCAATATGGAAAGCAGGTTTGCAACTCCTCAAAGAACTTAAAACAGAATTATCATTTGACCCATCAATTCCATTCTTGGGTATATACCCAAAGGAATATAAATCATCCTATCATAAAGACACATGTATGCATACATTCATCACAGCACTATTCACAATAGCCAACATATGGAGTCAACCTAAATGCCCATCAAAGGTAAACTGGATAAAGAAAATGTGGTACATATACACCATGGAATACAATGCAGCCATAAAAAAGAATAACTCATGTCCTTGCAGCAACATGGATGGAGCTGGAGGCCATTATACTAAGCAAACTAATGCAGGAACAGAAACCAAATACCACATGTTCTTACTTACAAATAATATACATGGACACAAAGAAGGGAACAACAGACACCAGGACCTACTTTAGGATGGAAGTCGGGAGGAGGGTGAAGATCAAAAAATTACCAATCAAATACTATGCTTATTATCTGGGTTATGAAATCTTCTGTATACCAGACCCCCATGATATGTTATCTTCCTATATAATAAACCTCACATGTATGCCTGAACCTAAAATAAAAGTATAAAAAGAAAACAAAAACAATTTCTTTGTGTAAATTGACAGACATTTTGAAATGATGTGGAAATTCAGTCAAGAGTAGCCAAGATAATTAGAAGAATGATGTCCGAGAACTGACTCAAATGGATATCAAGTGAATATCAAGATTTCTTATAAAACTACAGTAATTACTAGATATGGTGTTAATGTAAGGGTGAACAAATAGACTATTAGTATACTTGAAGCATGCACTATGGAAGTCACACTTTCCAAGTCCCTTTCCCTGTCTCCATGCTTTCTCATCCACCATCAGGGTTGTAGCTGTATATCACAGTAATGAGACCATCTCTGAAGTCAGATTCCCAGAATTAGACACCCAGGAAGAACCAGAATACTCTTTGCAGCCTCTAAGGCTTGTCTTGTGACCCACCAATGTCCTGTGCCCATATTATCATAGATGCCAGCTGACACTCTCAGAGGCATCCTTCAAATTAGAATAAAATTGTTCTAATACAGCATGAAACCCTTTACTCTGATACAAAAGATGCAGCCATATCATAAAGGTACATGTTTGGGGAGAACTGCAATATCAACACACATCTAATCAAAAGCTTGGCCAGTTCTAGCCACCACATTGTGATTCTTAAGCAGGTAGTACTTATTCTCTCTTTTCCTGCTGCCTCTCCATAGTACACCAAAACTTCCAGAATGCTCACTTTTTTTCCAAGAGAAATAATCTCTGGATATCATCAAGGTTATCTCAAGTCTCAAGTACTCCCTATGGTCATCATCAGCTTCCCTCCCAGAATAAACTTGCATACTGACGATATTTCACCTTAAAACAATCTACTATTCCCAGGACCCTCATTCAAGACAGGAGGTTTAACAAACTGTACTTCTAGAAGTATCTTGGGAACCAATTAAGAATGAGAATTTTAAAACTAAAACATAAGTGATCTACTAAGAACATGAAATAAGAAGAGCAATGACTTGCTGTTCCTTAAATGGATAAGAGATAAAAGGAAACATTTTTTGTCAGGGTGATTTTATTCAAATGTAGTATGTGATTTATTCTCTGCAATGCATAAATAAACTTCAGAAAAAGAGAAGGACGACATAGAGTTGGGAACAGAAGTAAATCAGAGCTGTGCCAATATTTGCAAAGACCTGCTATCACACGGTACTGTGTTCATAGGGAAAATCTGTTATAAGTAATATCAAGAGTGTCCTAAAAGACTTGTGTTGAGCATAAATGCATCCGTAGTATGCCCTTGTTTTTCCACTTCTCATACTCTATGTCTTGGCCAGTCACAAATACTCACTAGTAGTCATCAATACTATTCATCTATGCCCCAGTCCTATAGAGTCCATGTGCTTCTCTGTCTGAAATCCTCAAAATTCCTTCTGTGCATACACACGAACACAAAGTCCAGGCCCAGGTAAACATCTCCATTTTTGACTGCTACTTATTTCTTTTTAAAGTAGATTGTAGCACATTTAGATGGATCAAAGCTTAAAAATCTCCCTCCCAGCTCTGTTATCCAGCCACTTATTACTCTCCCCTGTCTATTCTTCACTCCAAAAGGATATTTTATAAATATGTGTGCAGGTTCCCATATTTTACACAAACCATGACATTTTAATGGTTTGTTGCTTCTTGTGTGTAAAATGGGAGATAAATAATATGACCAGCTGGGGTTGTTGAGTAAATCAAATGGGCTAACATACATGAAGCATTTCGAATAGTGCCTGGCACAGAGCAAGCTCCATGTAAGAATTAGCTATTATAATCTTCATCTTCATCTTAATCATTGCTTTCATGTCTCCATAAAAATAAATATAATTTTACAGCATGTCTGCTGGCTCTATCATATTCCTCTACATCATTTATTTAGAGATGTTCCTATTAAAGGAGATTTAGAGTCATTATACTTTTTCTGTATTACAATGGACATACTCAAGAACTTATTTTTGTGCACTTGTCAAACTACCTGCATAGAAGGAAATCTTAGCAATGAAGTTAATGGCAGTGTTTTAATGGCCTTTAATAGAAATTTATGGGTAAGATAGCAGCATGAATACACACAAGAGCTTTCCCTCTAACTTCAAACTACTACAGGTAGACTTCATTTTTTTGTTGTTGCTCATAAGTCAGAGGGGGAATTTTATAGGTCCCAGGAATTAAGAATAAACCTTAGGCATGGTGGTGACCAGTGCTTGAAGGTCTAGTATGCCTAGGGGACTGGAATCTGAAACAAACATTAGGAGCTGGGGCTTTAACTTCCACAAGGAAGCTACAGTCTGATTCCCAGATGTTATAAGGATCCACAAGGGAGCATCAACTGAACTGAAAAATACCTACCTCCTAGGATCATAAGAAAGATGAAAGCCATATTTTTGTAAATATGAAGACATTTAAAGAAATAATAAGTATATCCCAGGCTGTGATTGGAAAAGATAATTGTGACCAGAAATCAGACCACTTGCTCTTTTTCCAACTTTATACTAACTGAATACTTTTTAAAATCCAGAGTTAAGAACCTAGCCTAAAAGTTAGCTAATACTGAAGAATCCCATGGAACCTGGGCAGAATCACCTGTGAGATCTTTTCACAGGGAATCTTTCAATGACAAAAGCATATATAGAGAAATTCTATAATATGCATCTCCAGTGTTAGTTATGATAAAGAATAACACCAAGACAGCCTCAGAAATTCACAAACAGAAGGAGTCACATTGTGGAAATAAAGATAACAGAATAAATGGACAGAACTTTAAAGTAGGTGTGTGTAAAATGTTTAGGGTAATAAGATACAAATATTTAAAAGGCAAGAAAGAGAGATTATAGAACAAGAGAAGCCAAATAAAAACTACAAATTAAAAAAATAAAATCATTAGGAGATATAATTATTTCAGGAAAATAATAATAAATTTGGAAGGATATCTGAAAAATAACCAAAATATAGTACTGAATCTTAGAGGTAAGAAATGTAATAAAAAAAAGTTAAGAACATGAAGAACGGTTGTCATTTCTGATATAACTTTTACATGAGTTCCAGAAAAAAAGTAGAGAAAATGGAAGAGAAGCAATATGAAGAAATTTGAAGAAATAATAGTTGTAATTTAAGGAAGATTTAAATCTTCAAATTTAAAAGGCACAGAAAAAAAGTACAAATAAATACAAATACATTCTTACATATATTTAGTGAAATGTTGAGTTTCAAGGATAAAGAGAAGAGTTTAAAACTGCTAATGAGAAAGGAACGATTACTTGCATAAGAACATTATCAGCCTCTGTTAATAATGGAAGAAAATGAAAACAAAAACACTTCAATATATTCAGAGAAAATAACTACCAGAGTCAAATATATATGCAGCTTGACAAAATTGAGGGCAAAATAAAAACACTTTGTGTCATCTAAAGATTAAGAGAACTTGTTATTCAAAACTATTCTTCTACTAAAAGAATCAATAAAGTCTGTATTCTAAAAATCTGAAAGGGAGAAAAGGGATATAAGAAGCAATGATGTACAAAGATATCAACAGAATATTTGGCAAGCCTAAATATATATTTAGCAAAATTAACTATTACTGTAAGTTTAAAAACACTATGGAATTAAAAATAAAATTGAAGACTATCTGTGGGCTTATGTGTGTGTGTTGGGGAAGAATGTTGTCGAGATGGGAGCTTCAGTATAAGATTTTATATATACATATATTGGGGTTGTGATTAAAACAATAAACTTAGATTTTGATTAAAATAAATGTACATATATAATTTGTATTTTGATTACAATATGAAGTTATGTGTGAGAGAGTAATCACCAATTGAATAGAAATAGAAACTCTACATATAACTTCCAAACTAATAAAGGAAAAGGGCATAATAATAAAACATGTTACTTCAAAGCAAAATAAGAGAAACAAATAAAAAAATGACACATAGAAATAACAAATATGTCCAAATATATTAGTAATCACAATAAACATAAACAGACTAAACTCACTAGTTAATAGATAAAGACTTTCAGCTTTAGAATAGACTAGTTGACATTAGACTACTGCTGCCTCATAGAACAATTTAAACAGCCACATTAAAAAAAAATTATCTGGTTAAGGACAGCTCGGACAACAATAACTAGAAAGGCTATGACTTCTAAGAAAGAGGAATCTCAGAAAAGTAAAATGACCTTTATACAGTGCTCTCAAAAGACAAAAATCAAAACATAGGAACTTGCAGACTACTATGTAAATGAGTCTAAAGTACCCCTGTGTATTGGCCCATGAACTGTTTATTTCTTCACTACAGGCTGAGACCCACTAGCTCAAAAGCCTACCTGCTCTAAGCTTAAAGTTTTACATGTAAAATTGTTTTTTAAATGGTTCAAATAATTAGATGTGTAGTCATTTAGAAACTGTATTACATAACCTACAAGCTCACTGGACAGTAGTCACTTATTGATAAGACAGAACCTTGTAGTTATAAGGCCCCAAACTGCTTTGGTGAATTCATTTATCAGTTCTAACAGATAATTTATGGATTCTTTAGAGTTTTCTATATATAAGATCATATCAACTGCAAACATCTTACTACTTCCTTTCCAGTTTGGATTTTTTTTTCTTGGTCTGATTTTCTCACTAGTACTCCCAGGATAGTTGAATAAAAGTGCTGGGATTGGGCATCTTTGCTCACACCAGATCTTTGAAGATAAACGTTCAGTTTTTCCCCACTGGTTATTATGTAAGCTGTGCATTTTTCATGAATGGCCTTCCTTATGTTGAGGAAATTTGCTTCTTTACCTATTTTGTTGAGAGTTTTTATCATGAAAGGATGTTGAACTATGTCAAATGCTTATTTTTTGCATCTTTTGAGATGATCATATGGTTTTTGTCTTTCATTCTGTTAATGAGAGGTATAGCATTAATTTCCATGTGGAAACTAACCTTGCACCTCAGGGATAAGTCCCTCTTGGACATGGTGTTTCATATTTCTGATGTGTTATTGAATTTGGTGGTGTTTTTAGACAAAGAGAGAATCTTCCACCAACAAATTTTCACTGAAATAAATACACTAGAGAGAGGTGTTCCAATGGAAGAAAAATGATCCCAGAGCCTATCAAGTAAATGCAGGTTAGAATAAAAAAAGAAAAATAGATAAGTAAGTAGATGTACATGAATATTGACAAAATGTTAACTATACAAAATAATTATAATACCTGTGAAGTTTAAAATGTAAATAACATTAAAAGACATGACAAAAATAGTGCAAACTGCAGGAGGGTATAAATGAATTAGAAAACATAATGGGAAAAACTTGGGTTGCATTCCAAATAGGACATATAAAAACAAGCACAATTGAAAAAAACCCACAAAATACTCAGGAATAACACACCTGACAACATAAGTAAAGGCAAGCACAATGCTAGGAAAACTATAAAAATTTAACAAAGACAGGGGAAAAACAAATACTATATATTTTTCCTGGAGAATTATTCTGTTTTTTAAAGCAAATGCACAAATTCTAACCAATTCAAATGAAAATCATGGCAGGAGATATTTCTTTATATAAAGAAACTGATTCTAAAAGTCATCCAGAATGAAATATGTAAGAAAATATTTTTTTAACTTTGAAATATAAAAAGTAACTAACCTACACCAAAACATAATTTTAATCTCTAGTGATTAAAATAGTACTACAACTTCACTGGAATAGTACAATACAACAGTGAAACTGAATTGTAAATTCAGAAATTGTTGCATATATATAAAATAATTTATTATAAATTAAACACAATAAGAAGAAGACATATTACTTAATAAATTATACTTCTACAATAGTGGTTTACTAGGGGAAAAAGAAGAGGTAAGTCTCTATATCATACCTTATATAAAATAAAGTCCAGATAAATTTATTTTCCTAAGTAGTCAAAAGAAAATAAAAAACGTAAGAAAAACTTTTTATGATATTGAGATGGAGAAGACTTAAAGAAATGTAAAGTAAAACAAAACAAACGTTGACATCTGCCAAACTATCACAACTTATTTGAATATTATAAAGTATTATTAAATATTAAATATTATTCGAATAATATATGATTTAAATATTAATATTTAATTATTATTCAAATCATAATATTTAATAGGTTATCTTATACCTCTTTAATGAGTGTGGATAGGTACAGAATTTCTGGAAAGTAATTTGAACAATATGTATCAAAATTCTACCTTTGGCCAATTAATTTCATGTCTGTGGAAATAATCCCAAATGCAAAAAAAAAAAAAAAAATTTTAAGGATATTTTTAGCCATATTTAGAAGAATGAAAAACTGAAAGACCTCAATGACTAACAACAAAGGAACAGCTAAATATTCATGCTACCTTCCACACAGTTGGCATATTACATTCACCAGGGACTTCTGATTAACCTGAGACAATGCTTACACTTAGGTGGAAATGATATTAAATTACACAGGCAGAATGATTTAGACAATAAAAAAAATACAGCTACACACATATACTTAACACTTCTAAATATAAAACAAATACACTTCGAAAAATGGCCAGGAAGAAATATGAAGCAATAGCAAAGGTAATTGTTCTGGTTTGTTGGTGAGTTTTTTTGTTTGTTTATTTTTATTTATTTATTTTTGAGACGGAGTCTCGCTGTGTTGCCCAGGCTGGAGTGCAGCCGCGGGATCTCGGCTCACTGCAAGCTCCGCCTTCCGGGTTCACGCCACTCTCCTGCCTCAGCCTCCCGAGTAGCTGGGACTACAGACGCCCGCCACTGCGCCCGGCTAATTTTTTGTATTTTTAGTAAAGATGGAGTTTCACCATAGCCAGGATGGTCTCGATCTCCTGACCTCGTGATCCACCCGCCTCGGCCTCCCAAAGTTCTAGGATTACAGGCGTCAGCCACCGCGCCCGGCCCGGTGAGTTTTAAGTAATGGGTTTGGATGAATGATTTTCGTTTTTCTTTTACAGACATCTGTCATCTGCCAGACAAACAAATTAGATAAAAAATTTCTATCTTACATTCTAAGATGTGAAGAAAAATGTTAAAAAATAGAGAACTAAAATCTATAATATAACAAAACTAAATAAATCTTTAAGATGTATTGCTATTGTAACCAAAGGAAATACACACACACACACATATTTAGAGATGCTGATTAGCAAAAAGTAGGGAACTAGGCCAGCAGCCCCTGGTGCCCATCTTACAGAACCTTGAACGACCAGATCTCCCCTGTCCACCCAACCACACAAGTCTGGTTGCGTTACAGACTAATATAAATCCCCTAGTGGATGACCAACTCATTCCATTCTCCCAGGACTTTTCCGGTTTTAGCACTTCAAAGTCCTCTGTCCCAGGAATCCCCTACCTGGCAAACTGGGATGGTTTGTCACTCAACAACTTTAAAACAATAAAAACCATTTGTTCACTCTTGTATCAGTTGATTCACAACAAGGGTGTAGCCAGTGAAACTGCTGTTGATTTTAAAAATGTGCTTATTGGTCAGAGCATCTGCATGTGGGTTTGGTATTCCAAGTTAGAATAACCCCTTCACAAGTCATGGGGAGTAAGAATCGAGATGTTTCCATGGTATAAGTGAAACTACTACAATAATGTACACTGGATTAGCACCATTCAGAGTTACTAGAATAATCCCACATACCTCTCACATTATCCTCAGATTTTTCTCCTTAATGCTGGGTAAAAACATGCGTTACTTCTTGTTGGTGTTCTTTCTGCTAACAAGTATCCATCATCATCTATTTCTAGGCATCTGTTGTAGTGATTGCCATTTTCTAAACACAGACAGCAGATTACCGGGGGCAAGATGTTTTACACACATTATCTTGTTTATTCTAAAATAACCCTGGAATATATATATTATAACTATTTTACAGATGTGTTAACTGGCATTCTGAGAGGTTAAGTAATTTATACAAAGCCAAAAAGCCAGGACAGGGCTGGTAGGGGAACAATGGTTTGCCTGGTGGCAACATTCAATTTCTTACTAATTTATTCTAAAACTTACTTTAAAAAACTTTATGAGTCATCAAACACAAAGTTAGGCTTTAAAAAGTGATTAATTCTTATAACCTCTAGTTTTTTTTAATACCACTTTTTATTCTGAGCTGAAAAGATTTAAGTCATATGATCTAAAGTGATTTAAATGAGAGGAATTATGTGTCTATTTCATCTAGGCACACAAATGTCTCCCTGCTATACATTGCCCTCTAAATAGAAATTGCTCTAAATTAAAAAAAAATTTAATAGCTGAAATAATTATATAGTTTCTAGGTGAATCATTCTGTAACTTTTTAGTCTTTGGGAAGATTCCATGTTTCTGGTGTTTTTTTATGAAATAGTTTCCAGCTACCCACTTACGTCTTTGGTAAAATTACAGCTCCTTATTAAATACATTTTTTACTCAATACAGTTGATCTACTTAGTCATCAAGCCTGTATTTAAAGTGTACACTAATATCAAATATGCATATTAAAGTTTATATCACAGCCTTTAATAGCCTCATGAGGCATTTAACCACATTTAACTAGATAGTACCCTAGGAAAAGGCCGAATTTAAACCAAAAGTTCTGCTGATTCAACTTAATTGAATTTCACAAATATTTATTGTGTTCCTCCTTCCGAAACAGCAGGCAGTCATCCTGCTTCCAGAAATGAGGTATTGCTTCTGTCTCAATGAACTCTCCATCTTGAGAGACATACCAGCAAATAAACATGGTGTAGCAAAAGTATCAGTAGACATGTGTGCAAGATATAGAGGTGAGATTGAGCAGGAAGTGATTCAGAAGGTGGAAAAGAATACCAGGAAGGGCTGTGTAGAAGACATGATACCTAAGCTGGATTTTGAAGGATGGATAGAAAAAGCTACCATATGGGAACCCCTAGGACCTGTTCTCATTGATGTGATCCCTCTCCACTTCACTTTCAGCTTTGGCCAATTGGAGCAATACAAATGTGCCACATATAATCACCCCCTTCACCCCTGGAGATTTTGTTATCTTTAATCCAATATCAATGCCATCATCCTGCTTTGCCTATATTATATGCATTCTCCATTGTCAGATGCCTCTACTTTCAGGAAACTTGCTCTATCACAACTAGACATAAACTTTCACTGCCTTCTGAAATAAGACTTAGTTTCTCAGTTACATCACTTATTAAATTCTACACTGTCTTTGGGTTATTGTAATCATTGTTCTATCCTTAATAAGTGGTATGCCTTCTGAAGAGATAGAACAGGCTGTGTTAATATCTGCACTTCCTTCTTCCCACTTTCCCCACTCATCACTGACCACAACACTGAGCCCCTAGTGTCTGCAAAAGAGAAGCGTTTCCATAAACGGCACCTCACTGATGAAGGAGTTTTGCCTGAGAGATGAGCCATTACATCCCTTGGCAGGAAGCATAAAAATGGGTCTTCACTTCCTGTAGTGGACACGCTCCTGATTTGCAGTGTAGGTGGAATTTGAAATAAAACCCAACATGTCTTTATTTAAGGGGAATTTTTTCATAAGAAATTAATCATTCACTAATGCTTATATTCTGACTTTCAGAGACTCAGAAACTGAAAGAAATATTTTTTCTTGATTTGTCTTCAGGACTGACACTGACAGCACTTGGCTTATTTTAAGCTCTACAATATAGAGGAACACCTGACCCTGCCTGGAGTCTAGAAAAAAGAACAAGACCTGAGATATTTCAGGAAATCCAAGGTAAAAAAATAAGCAAAAAGGTGTTGAATGTTTCTGAGTGGTCAAAAAGAGAAAGGACTGAGATAAGGCATCAGGTTTTATGGGGAGGAGATCATTTAGCTAAATCAACCAAACTTAAAAACAAATTAGTTTCAGCAGGAAAAAGCGAAAACTAACCATTATTTTTTGGAAAGATAAAGAAGTTCAGAAAATGCAAAACAACTAAAAAATTATAATATTTGAAATTAGAATTAAGATTAATCCCAAGAAAAAGCTTGGCAAATAACCCAAGTATCTCCTAGGACTCGGTAAATGACATGTTTCATCTTTAAAGGATCACAGTGCCTGTGTCTTTTCAGAACTTACACAATGAAGAAAGTAAGGTGTTCTCATTTCTCTATTTTATTAAAAAATTAAAATTTGAAAAGTAATCATATAGCCCATTCCTAAATTTTCCCTTAACATTATGCAGACTCTATAATTCTTATTTCAAGTCTTGGCAGTCAGCTAAGAACTAAAACAACAACAAAAAATGCTATAAGAATTTCTCAGGGAGCTTCAATTATGCATTCCACTTTAGTGCACAAAATAGTTCCTTGTAAAATGAAATATCTCACTAAAGCTAAGAGAGAAGGTTGATGAAAGAAGTGAACTTTGCTTTTCAAGGTCATTTCATACTATGTCCTTTTGACTATGTTCTAATCTCTTCCACATCCTGCGATTATTTTTTTGGTGAGAAAAATAGGAAATTACTTTCAAAAGATTTATGTTTGTGTCTATCATGAACCCACTTTAAATATATGTTTAAGAACTTTGATCAGAAGATTTTCTAAGATGAAAACAGGTCCAGAGAGTTCCTTGAGAACCTCTGTCGGAGCTGCTAGTAAACTCATAGATAACCAAGTATATAGCTAAGAAATTGTAATACTCAGTGTGATATTGGAGCTTAATTTTTTTTTTCTTCATTACATGAAAGAAAATTCAACATGTGTTCACAGCTTGGAAAAAATATTATAAAGGTAAAATATCAAACTCCAGTATATTGATTAGGATAGGAAGACTGCTATAGCAAACAAACCTTATAATAAATATTGGCTCAATTACAATAGATGTTTGTAACAGCTTTAGGCTACTGTAACGGTCCATGGAGTGGCCCCGATCCATGCAATCATTCAAGGATCCAGGCTCTCAGAGAATCTTCTGTCTGAGAACATGTGGTCCCCAAGGTCACCCTCTTTGTTATAGGCAACCATCAGAGAAAAAGTGTAAAGGCACACAAGTGTTGATGGAGCAGGTCTGGAAAAGACATAGACTACTTTTGCTCATATTTGCCAGTCATGTGACCGCACATGAAGGTGGGAGTGGGTTGGCAGATCTACAATTCTGGACTTGGCAGCAACTTCCCAGTAGCCATTCTACAATGTAGAAGAGGAAGAACAAATATCTGGGGACAGTTTGTCGTCCCTATCATGATCCTGTACATTGCAGGGAGTAGTCATAAGTACAACCACTTCGGTCAAAATGTCTTGTTCCGTGCAGGGAAATCTGGAGTCAGATAAGTTCAGAATATGTCTCCAAGTTCTTTGCTCTTTCTTGTTTGTGAATGAATAGCTGATGCTTCTTGAAATAAATAAATATACCCATTTACTTGAAGCTATTGGCAGGATTCAGTAAGATTTCCAATACAAAGTCAACACCACCAGCCCAAATCACACAAACACAAATTATCGATTTTGGATTAAAGATGGTGATTTACACCTAAACCTGGGAGACAGAGGTTGCAGTGAGCCGAGATCATGCCACTGCCCCCAAGCCTGGGTGACAGAGCAAGACTCCATCTCAAAAAAGAATAAAATAAAAGATGGTGATTTAAGCACACCCTTCCCCTCTCTCTCAATTCAAATCCTTGGAAATGAAAAGATAAAAAATGTTAAACTGGGCTAGGTAGACATCAAAGGTTAAAGACAGAAAATTCATCCAAATTATAGACCATAGTAAGACACACCAGAAGGTAAAGAGATTAGTAACTCAAACAACATTGGACATGAATGAGTCAGTTCTGATCATGACTTTCTGGAGCACATGGCCTTGCCTTGACCTCTTAGATTGTTACTAACCTATATAAACCCTTCAATAATTGGTAAAAATTAATTTTTTAAGCTCATTTACATATTTTTACCAAAGACAGGTCCGACAATTTTGTAACCTGCTTTTCTACTTACACGTTTGTGTCATTAAATATTTTTCTCTAATATTATTTAAATGCTGTATGGTGTACTATAATATAGATTTACCATTATTTATTTAATACTGAAGTTAATATATAGTCATGATCTAAGCTCCATCCTAATTTTGTACCATATCTCATTTAGTCCTCACAATCATGCTATGCAGTGGATATTATTATTATTACACCCAACTTAAAAATTTATAAACATAAACTTTATGATATAACCTACCTCTTACAAGTTTATACATTGATTCTACTCTTATATACCTGCTTCCAAAATCTGTGGCAGGCTCAACTCTATTTCCCAAGTAATCACTGCATTTCAAGCATTTTTTTGTGCTCCAATACTTACCTGTGCCACAAAATTGGGAAGACAAAAGCAATTCAGATCACCACAGAAAAAAAATCACATTTAGCAGCCTACACCATAAAATGCAGTTTATTGCTGCCCCCAAGCTAGCTTTCAGAAAATACTTCCACATGATCTACGGCTTAATCCATAAATGGCCTAAGAAACTGGACTGCTGCCATGCAATGAATCCAAGAAGAGGGCTATTTTAAAGCTCCCTTCTTGAGCAACAACAACAAAAAAAATAATGCGGGCTTCAAATGCTTGCTTTTTAAAAATAAGACAAAACTGAAAAGGTTGTTAATTTAGCTTCATAAAGAAAGCACTGAGTTTACTTAATAGGTTATAAGGGTACACTGTTATGCTAACGGTGAACATTTCTATTGTGTTAACTATTCATAAACATTTTGATGGGTAACCTTCACACCATCTGCATGTAAAGCAGGTATCCTTTCATCAAAAGAGATGCTCACAGTCAGCCTATCCTTCAAGATCTAAGTTAAAAGTCCTCACTTTTGTGATTATACTGTGCACCCTTGCAGTTTCTTTCCTGTCCTTCAGGTCCCAGGGAGCCTTATTAATTTTACAGATGCACCTCTCTCTGTGTTCAGTTAAGATAGTAAATGAGGAACCTGTGTTTCATACGCAAATTCTTGTTTAACGCAAAAAAATAGTGGCGAATGTCTTACACTTTAAAACTTTCTCAGAAACAGAAGTCATCATGAAGCGTGCAGAAAAGAAAATTGAGAGTGGGTTGGCAATCATTTAGTGAGAGCTTTTTGTGCTCAGCACCACAGGAAAAGGTAGAGTAAGAACATTGCCAGGAGCTCAGTATCTTAAAGAAGGGGTGAGATCATTACAATTCCTTTAACACAAGCAAAACTAAAAAGTGTCATAGCAGTGAAACACAAAATGTGACATGCATGCTCCAGGGAGGAAAAGATTATACCTGTTTGGAAGAGTAATAAGGAAAGTTGCACTTGAAATGGACCTAGGTGGATTAATGTAATTTCTGGGACTGGAAGTGAAATTGATGAATGGTGTTTCAGCCAGAGGGAACACATGGGGTCTGTTTCACATGGGAGAAAGTTCTGTAGAGCTCAAGAAGAGTCCGTGTGTAGAAGACGATAAAACATAAACTCTGATGTGCCATAGAGTTTGTATTTAAATTCATCGAAAATTTTTATGTAAGGATGTCATATTTGATATATTTGGGACTCAGGAAAAGTGAATATTGTATATATGTTTATGTTGGCTTGGAAGAAGCTTCTGGGAAAATAGTGCAGTTTGTCTTGGTCTTCTAACATAATAAGGTCTCAATGGGAAGGAAAAAGAGAATCAAGATAGTAGATATGTTTTGGAAGTAGGATTTGTAAGACATAGAAAATTCACAGACTGAGCCCAGAAATCAAATAGGCTTTAGAAATATTATCATACCAGATTCAAAGAGAGAAAGCTATTAGACATTGTATTGGTAACATACATATATAATGTATATCTCTTAGGTTTATATTATGGAATTTCAATAAGCTCCTTTTTTGTCAGTTTAATTACCTTCTCTGTATCCTGGTATTGGGTCCATTTTACCAATAAGAAATCAAAAAGCAGTAAAGTATTGCTCCCAACACAGCTGAAGTTGCTTGGGTGCCTGGTTCTCTAAACTACAGATCAGTGAATCACTTTATAATTTCTCAGAAAGCCAGACGGGTGTTTTAAGTGTACTTGTGGGATTCTCACTTGAATAGCTCCCATCTGGGAATGGATTAATTAAAGGGATAATGGAGGTGTATTATATCAACCTCTGCAGATGTGAAGAATTATTATTTTAGCTCTCCACTTTCTGCACTCATCTAAATCAGATTTTCAGCACCTTTTAATAGACAGCAATTATTATGCACTCACTCTGTAATGTGATTTAGCCTTGCTTAAGGAAAGGCAGCATAGTAATACAGGGGTTAAGAGTGTGGGCTTGGACATGAAGTTTCCCCAGGTTTAAATCCTATTTCTAGCATTTTACTTCCCATTTGATCTTGAACAAGTTACTTAACATCTCTGTACTTCAAGTTCCTTGTCTGTAAGATGGAGATGGTAATAATAGTATCTTCATTACATGATCCTTCTAAAGATTAGAGGCACTCTTACCTGTAGCAACTAGAAGAGTGCCTATCACATAGAAAATGCTCATTGAATATTGATTACAACATTTATGCATCCTGTGTCCCAAACTAGAAAGTAAGATCTTTGAGAATAGGGAATGACTTAAGTAATTCATTTTGAACCCTTTCTGATTTTCAACATAATACACTTAGGTTGAGTATAGTAAAACTATTAGAGAACATTTCGATCTGCAGAGATTCTCTGATACCACAAACATTCAATAAATGGGAAGGTCTGAATGGAGCTATAAACCTAATAAATTTTGAAGAAAGAAAAATCTGAAACTGAGGGTTCTAGAGAAATTGAGACTGTGTGAAGGGAGTTGCTTTTGGCTATTATTTCTTTCCTCCACATACTGTAAGTAAACTGCAGTGGTATGGTTGAGGCCACAGACTAGTTAATTTTGCTTACTGTGAGGAAATTGGATCTGAAAAGAAATGCCCTGTCTAAAGCCAGACTTGAGTTTCAAGGGCAAATCTGTGAAGAGTTGGAGAAGACAAGGAACCCAGATCCTTCAATGAGCATGGAACACATAGCCAACCAGACCATAGCTTATAAGTTCTACACTTACTAGCTATGTGACAAACATAATACCTTTCCTTACATACAACTGCTCTCTCTCTCTCTCTCTCTCTCTATCTCTGTCTCTGTATCTCTCTCTCTCTCTCTCACACACACACACACACACACACAAACACACAAACAGATTTCCTAAGGCAAGGTTTTGATGAGATCTTACCAGTAATAATTCAGGGACATAGTGACTATAAATCTCATATTTCTGAGTGCCTATGTAAAATTTATGAAATAAAAATTAGAATTTCTACAATATATAACCTTAAATATCTATGGCTTGTTTTGACCTTAATATGACAGCTCATACACATTTTTATGTATGGTATGATATGTTTCTAAGCATCCTCTTATTTGATTAAAGAATTCTATGTATTTATGAGCTTTTATTTTCTGAAAAATGCATGTTTTAAAGTTTTGAGAAGTATAAAAATGGCTGAATCATGAATTGGATCTCAAAGAAACCTAGAATGAATGCTAATGACACATAAGAAGAAAGATCAAGCTGACTAGAAAATAGAGTTAGACCTCTTCCGTGATAAAGGACAGAGGACACTGACGGAAGACAAGCCATGAAAAATGAGCAGAGGACATTTGTCTATACCAACCAAATGGGGGAACCACTCAAAGCAGCAATGCAGATGAGCACTGCGTCAGAAACCCACATGACGGTGCCACTGCTTCAGGGCAGATGACTGGGAACAAGAGTTAACTAAATCAGGTCAATTCAGTTATAGTGTATTAACAACAACGGGATGGAGTGGAGTGGAATATGATCCACCAGGCACAAGCGATGTGCACTAAGGTCTTTGATCTTCAGTCTCCTCGTGTCTAAATCGAGATGATAACAATCTCACCAAGTGATTTCAAGGCAGTGTGTCTAACCTACAACTGATCCCTCTCCCTAGGAACACGGCTTCTTTCTGCCAACTGGTGTGGTCCATTATCACCCCAGGGATGGGAAATGGGAGTATTGACCGCTCCAACAACTTGCCAGCAGCTCCCTAGGAAAGCCAGAAACTCAAAAAATTTCCTCCTCACTGCAGAGGAAGCCAGGTCTAAGTAAAAATAATGTTACTAATGTAGCTGATATTTATGAAATGTTTACAATGTGCCAAGGGCTGTGGTAAACACTATATGTATATACACACACACACACACACACACACACACACACACATATACACACACACATATATATACACACACATATATATACATATATAATTGTCTATTTAATCTTCAAGACAGACTTATGATATAGATATGATTACTCTTCCTGATTTATGGAGAAGAAAACTGAGCCTCCAAAATGTTAAATAATTTGGTTCAAAATGCACAGCTTGTTAAGTGGCAGGGCCAGTCCTTGACCCTAACCATTGCACCACACTGTCTCCGAATGAGCTAGTTCTTGTGCAGCTTGAACAAGAAGCTTTATCGAGTATAAATCACATGAGGCTTTATAACACCATGTTCTCAGAGTCCTCCATGACTAGCTCTGCTTCAGACTCCAGAGGCCTAATGCACCTGCCCTGGTAAAGGAAATCTTAGGAAGACTGAGAGCCTGGCAGTCTAATGGAAAAATAGTTTAAATAGAAAAGAGGGAATCTTAACTTAAAATTAACATTTATTTCTTCTTTGTTCCTTCATCAAATGTTATTTCCTGTGTCTTGTTTAAAATTAATGTACTGCTTATAATTCCTAGTGTTACTAAGAATGCATTTTTGAGAAAAAAGAAAAACTGAGGTACCTCTCATTCTACGCTTGCCTATGAACAGATGTCTATTTTGGCTGAATCACTAAAAAGTGAATCTACTAATAACTAAGGCACGTCTTTTAAAAGGCAAGCATCAAAATCAGCCACCGTGTGCAAAACCTCAAATATAAATAGCAAGCAAACAAAACAGAAGTTATTTGCAGAGGCAGCCACTGCAACAGAAAAGTCTTCAGGGGTAAGCAGACCTGGGTTCAAGAGCCTCCAAGTGATGTCTAAACGCTACCACTTGGGCCCAAGACTTCTTCCCAGACTGCTTTTACAATATTGTTGGACTGGGACCTCCCTGGGTGGCTTACTCATCCTCACTACCAGTCATTCAAGTCTTACTCCTCCATAAAGGCCACCTTAAACGCCCCCTCCTCATCAAGCACACCCTGACTGCCCATCCAGAAGCCATCGTATCTTCTTTGCCTCCCTTGACATTTACTTTGCCCAAATGGGCTGGAAATACATGCCATGAAATCGTTACCTGTGAGCTCTTCTCTGGCAGGGCCATTTCTGAGTCTCTCAGGGGCCTAGGACATCACCTGACCATAGTGGGTGCTCAATGCACTTGGCTAAAGCAACACCTGAAATCATAAGCATAGTTCATAGCGTCCACCGAACCACTCAGAAAGAAAAATGGTACGGTTAATACTTATCAAGTATCATGATGAAGTGAAATAAAAAATGCAGAGATGTAACTTATGAAAGTGGAATGAGTTCACAAAGGGCCTCGTGGCTTTTATCATTTGGGGACATCTTTAATGTTCCAGGCCCTGAGCTCATGTGAGTAAACTATAAAACCAGACCTGAATATCAAATGCATGGAAGTCAGCCAAGATGAAAAAAAAATAAGGGCCAGACAAAATTGGCAGAATGAAAGCACCATAAAAGGCAGAGACTAACACCAAAGGGACAGCGGCCATGTGGGTGGGAGAGACTGAAGAAGGAGACCACCTGACATGCACAGGCTTCAGTTCCCAATTCACTGAGCCAAGAACTCAGAACTAATCAAAGAAAGGCTGCCACAGGACTACACAAAGCAGATGCCGCATGCCCTCCTTTTATGAAGCTTTTCCTTTATCTGCTGTTTCCAACCGAGCTTACTGCCTCCAATGACAGGTGAAGCGCTTCTAGGACTAAGAAGGAAGCCATGTTCTTGTTATACCCCTGCCTTATCCACAGGCAGGCACCACCATGCCTGAGCAGCTTACGCAAGCAATCAGTTCTCTTCCCATTTATATTTATATTTACATTCACTTATATTTTTGTTCACCAGGACATCTTGTTTTTTTGACACAAATAGCACCAGTAAAACCAATCCTCAACTGGGTGGAGAAAGCTGAACCAGTGACTGGGAACCTTCTAATAATTTCTCTGCTTCCAGCTTCCTAGCATTCCAGAAAACTCCCGTCCACCTAAGGAGATACCACAATCACTGGTAAAAATCTTCCATATGTTCCTCAACCATAAGGATGTCCCCTCCAGACCTCCAATTAAAGGGGGAACAATTGACCAAGGGCCCCAACTGCTGTGCTCTGAAGTCTACCCAAAGGCTGCACCCAGGCCATTCTCCCCACCGGCTGTTGCCAGCCAATGCCTGAGAGCAGCAGAGGTACAGGCCCATTCTGGGGAGACCTAGGACTGTTTGGGTGGTTAAAGTTGGCTTGAGGAGTCTCCAATGCCTTGAGGAGTCTCCAATGCCTTTACACCCAATCCTTAGACTTCAGGACAGTCTGGGATGCTTTTATTCACCCCATATTCACTCCTTCACTCAAGATCACAGGGCGACTTCTCTCCCACACTTTCCTGACCTGACTCCCTCCTCATTTTCTCTTCCAGATGTTTTGTGTAATAATCTTGTCTTGACACCTGATTCTCAGAAAAACCAGCTAACACTTGCCCTACACAACTATACATTTGCTGATTTAGTCACTTTTGAAATATTTGCTAACCATATACTACTTCTAAAGCACTATGCTAATAAGCACTCTGGGGCTACAAAAAAGAAACTGAGCCCTGACCTCAAAAAGCCACAGAATAGGCAGGGCACAATGACTCACGCCTGTAATCCCAGCACTTTGGGAGGCCAAGGGCAGTGGCTTACTTGAGGTCAGGAGTTCGAGACCAGCCTGGCCCACATGGCGAAACCCCGTCTCTACTAAAAATACAACAAATTAGCCAGATGTGGTGGTGGTCACCTGTAATCCCAGCTACTCCGGAGGCTGAGGCAAGACAATCACTTGAACCCAGCAGGCAGAAGTTGCAGTGAGCCGAGATCGCACCACTGCACTCCAGCCTGGGCGACAAGAGCGAAACTCTGTAAAAAGAAAAAAAAAGCCATTGAACATTAGGAGAGAAGATAAATACATAGATATTGGTAAGTGCTATATTAGAGGAAAGTGCACAAAAGTGTAGAAGCCCATGATGGAGTGATGTGGAAAGCAAATGTGGAGGATTCATATAGGCTTCTGAGCCAAATACTAAACTAAAAAGAAGGGTTTCTCAATAAGCTTGTCTCCTTTGTGGATTAACTCTTGAAACAAATCCCAGTGCTACATTGTTAGGTGGGCACCTGTGAGAGAAAGATCTATAGGCACAAGACAGTGACACTGGGGCAGAATCACACTCCTACGCTTTTGAAGTAAATTTCATTTATCTTTAGAAAACAGCTTGGCTTGCAAAACCCCCAGAAGCTATGCAGAGCCCTGAGAAACAATGAAAGAGCAAAAAGAAACTTCTGCTTCAACATAAAACATCTCCTCAACGTCATCATATGCAAGAGGTATTTAACATTTTAATTAGTCCTTGAGGTTTAAAAATAAATATCAAAAATATGGATATTTAAGTGGAACCTATTATTTTGTCAAAAATAAAGAATCCCATTTAGGAGAAAAAAGTGAACTCACTGGGAGGCAATATGTGGCTATGCCCCAGTCTGTTCTCATCCTCTTGCTTCAGGCTACACTGAGAGAGATGTGGCAGAAAAGAATGACACCAGAGCCCTAAGCCTGTTTCTAGTCCTGGCATCACCCCTGTCTCAGAGCAACCTAGAGCAACTGCTTTACTTCTAGACGTGTTTTCTCATGGTTCGAATTATCTCTAAGTTCACTGCCAGCTTTAACCTTTTAAGTCCTTAAATTTAATGAACTCATAAGAGCAAATGGAAAGTTACAGCCTCATCAAAAGAGAGTTTGCAAATGATGACTGCAGGTGAAGAAAGGGGAATTTGGCATGGGAGGCATGAGGCAACATGTGTGTTTGCCACCGGTCAGGTGGCTTTCTGTGCCATTAAATGGATATGACCTCTTATCTGTCACTAAACCAGAACGGCAGCAACAGAAGGCACCCAACATTGTAGGTGAAAAACCAAAGCCCGGAAGAACTTTAGATTCTAAGCAGCAATTAAAGGTGTTGTCTTAGTTGACAGTGAGGCCTCCTCGTCACAAAGTGGACAAGAGTACTCCCTGCGTAGCCTTTCGCATACACAGTCACACCTCTGGATGTCAATCTGAAGAGAGAAGGTAACAAGGAGTCCTCAAACTGCACCCAAACAGAGGAAAATGGTCTCAAGTGATAGTCTGTGGATGAGATCAAAGCTAATAGTTTTAAATATATTTCTCAAGAAAGTTGAACACTTTGAAGTCTAACACTCAGAAAGATCACTCTAAACACATTGTAATGGAATGTGAGTCACCAAGTACAAGGTGGGTGTAGAAGAGCAAAAGCAAAAAGTTACACCGGAGACAAGGTTTAGGGTGTTGAGGATTTGTTTTTGAAACTTTCTTGTTATTTTGCTAACAGGAACACTCTTTGTCTTCCCACTCAGAATGTCATTCCAGGGCCAACATCAAATCAGAGAACTAGGCCAAATGTCTGGGTCCCCTGGAAGTAGCAATAGCTTTTAAAAATTAGAGGCAATTTATTTTTCTTTGAGTCATAAGACTATAGAACATTAGATTTAGGAGGAATCTCTGAGGTCATCCAAGTGCACATCCCTCATGTGTTGGGCAAAGTGCAGGCATAAGTGAATTGTCAATGGTCATGTACAAGATTGGAGTCAGGTCTCAGAAGAGAATTTTCATGTCTCAGCTCCATGCTCTTCCTATCATAATATGCTATTTGTGTTAATAATCATCCCAGAATGCAAAACCATCCCATTATCCCCTTAGGCTAGACGTGTAGTCATACTACCCAGAATCACAATTTGCTGAGGGCACTCGGTAAATGTCTGCTGAATGAAGACATCCTTTCCAGGAATATGGCCAAGCCATGTTTTGCAGGTATTCTGAACTCTCAAAACAAGCTAAATGGTCTGTTATGTGTCACTAAGTAACAAAAGATGAAAAGAAAAGGGCTATATTTTTTAGTTCATTTCTAGGACATTGTGGGAGTTGCACATCTGAAACAAGTCTCCCGCTTCCTTTTCTATCAAGGCTATCATTCAGTCAAGGAAAAGTTCCTTAATGTACTTTAAAATGTGCTTTATATTTTCAAGGACAATGCTAAAACTGCCCAAAAGTGAACTTTTTAAGAAAGCAGCAGCCGCTAGCATCAGAGTCCATCAGAACCTTCATTCTCCATGTAAGTAGTGTCTGCTTTGATCTTACCACAGCATAAAGTGCCCCTCTCCTCTGAGAAAGGGCCCATTGGCTTGAACTCTGCATGGCCCAGAAAGTCCCAGACCCAATAATCTAAGGTAAAATTAGAATTTATGAAAATGAATGTAACTGGAGATTCGGAGTGAGTGTAGTCAGAATCACCCACCTATGAATATTGGAGTATCTGAAGACATCTTCTCTATCTCCACTTTTCTCAGATAGTGACCTCACCCAGCCTCAGGGCTTCAAATACAATCTATGTGCAGATAAAAGCTAATACACATCTTATCTCCAACCTCTCCCTGGACTTCGTAGTCATCTATCCAGCTGCTTACTTGACATCTGTTATAGATTGAATCATGTCCCCCCAAAATCCATGTTTCCTAATACTTAGTACTTCAGAACATGACATTACTTGGATAGAAAATCTTTATAGAGGTAATTGAGTTACAATGAGATTATTAGTGTGACTCTTAATCCAATATAATTGGCATACTTACAAGAAGAGGAAATGTGAACACAGACACACATAGAGAGAAGATGATATAAAGACATATAGAGAGAAGACAGCCACTGACATGCCAAGGTGAGAGGCCAGGAACAAATCCTTCTGTCACAGATGTTAGAAGGAACCAACTCAGTCAACACCTTGATCTCGGACATCTAGTCTCCAGAACTGTGAGGCAGTAAGTTTCTGTTGCTTAAGCCACCCAGAAAATTTGTATTACCTTGTTGCAGCAGCCCCAGCAAACTAACACGTCTCTGTTTAAATATCTAATAAATGCCCTAAATTTAACATGTCCAAGCCCCCAGCTGAGATTCTACTTGTTTCTGCCTGGTGCTCTCCAATATCCCCAATCTCAGCAGATGAAATTCCAGTCTACAGCCAACAACAATGAAATCACTCTTGAATCACCAGTTTTTCTCCTATCTGTTAAAATGTTTCATTTCTAAAATAATTCTGTATTTGATTACATTCAAATTATATCCAAAAATAGGTCACTGCTCACCTCTGTTCACTTTTGTCACCTAAATCAAGCTACCATCACCTCTCACCTGAATTTTTAGAATTGCCCCCTTACTTGTCTCTTTCCTTCCACACTTTCCCTCCCATAATCAAATCTCCACACAGCAGAAAGAGTGGTCCTTTTAGAAGGCAAGAGAGATTTGTGAATCTTCTGCTCAAGATCCCACAAGGGTTTTTTTTAATCTATATTTATTTGACGTACTACCAAGTTATACAATGATCCACTTGCGTTTTCATCCTGGGTAACCTTCAGACCTCTTCTTCTATCTCTTTCTGCATTTCACTCCTTCTGTTCCAATAAATCTAACCTCCTTGCTATTCCTCAAACAGTCCAGCCATGTTCCTGCCCCAGGGCTCTTGAACTTACTGCTCCCTCCTAGCAGAATCATCTTTCCTGAGATACCTGTTGCCTTATTGTCTTTCCTTATTAATGTTGCTGCTGAAATAGCACCTGATCCAGAAAGTCTTTATGACTTCCTATCTAAATAGCATCCTTTGTTGTAAATGGAGAAGTAAGTCCCCCTCATGGAGTCTTTAAGAATCATTTCAAAATAGCCATGGAAATCACACTCAGAGAGGCATATGAAATTAGAGGATTTATTATACTCACAGATCCTAGAGGAGAGAGGCACACCATGCCATGCCAGGGGCCACTTGAGAGAAGCTCCCAGGGAGTGAGCTCAACTGAGCAGATGGCGAGCTGAACAGGGGAAAGTGAGGACCTGTGGGCAAGTGGCCTTATTGGGGGTCAGAATGGAGTCCACAAGCCAAAGGCACAAGGGGGTTTCATTGGTGTGGTTGAATGTCATTAGGTCCCATTCAGGAGTGGGCAAGAAGGGGCCCTTTTGGAAGGGAACAGCCCTGTCTGTCATACTGGTGCACCTGGACAACCAGGCAGGGTGCTCATAGCCTGCTCGTGGGAATGTTGAGGCATCAAGGCAATATAAAGATTTAACAATTTGCAGTACATACCCCCATATATTTCATTGCTTATTGTTATGTTTCTCCCACAAGACTCTCCGAAAGACCAGACATTGTGTGTTCTGTTTGTTGCCGTGATCCTATCACCCAGAATAGTACCTGGCATCTAGTATGTGTTCATGAAATATTTGTTGAGGAAAATTTTTAAAGGAGAGAGGGGAAGGATGAAGGAAGAAAGAAAAGAATTCCCATTTATCTGAGTATGTCGGTAAACCCATGGGGCAGCCTGAGAGATGACTATTTTCATGAAGAATAAGGAATCTTTTGAGACTAATCCTAAGGGAAAGAAAAAGCCTGAGATTGAGTCAATAAGTGAATTCTGAGTCATCAAGAGGAAGGTTGGGTCTAATTATAGCATGGTGACGATTACTAGGCTTTGTCTTCTGGTTCAGTCCTCACTGGACTCAGATCTAAATCTTTTAAGAAACAGAGGGGTTATAAGTAAAATATGAAAAAGCTTTTTAATTAAAGTTCTGTACAACTTTGGGAGCTACATGCATTGCTGGAGCACTGAGGGAGATGGACATCTTTGACCATGCATTACAGGGCAGCCTTCGTGTCTTGAAGGCTAAAGTGTACTGATGGAGTCCTCAACAGAAACTATAGTATCACACTGTGCCCCAGGGAGCTTAAATTTCCCAGAGGACATTGGAGACCTGCAGAGACTATGGGGCCCAGTAGAGAAACAGCAATAACTAGAAAAACTGCAGTGACAGACAAAGTAAACTCTGTACCCAAGCAGAGCAGACTTTTTTCTTGAGAACTAGTAACTTACTCCCCAGGGACTTCTAGAAATTCATAGGAGGGCAATAGTTTAGTGAGCCAAAGGTACGATGTTCTGTAGGTCTATCTACAAGCCTGTGAAATTTCAGTTTATATTACTATGATCTCTTTTGCACCCTGAAACTTGTGAGTTCCAGAAAAATTCAGCATATATGTATATCATATGCTTTAGGTAATGACATTTGAGATATCAATCTTCCAAATATTGAACATGACTTAGCCTTTTCCTGCCACCTGAGGATTTTTATTAGCAGTATTAAGCATAGTGCTGTCTACTGTTGATGCCCTCAAGCCTTCTAAAGTATATTATGGTATTCACCCCTGAACTAAATAGCCCTATTGGGCACTTGTGTCTGCTTGGTTCATTTGTGTCAGAATAAGATATTTAAAATTAGAACTGCTAGTGGCTACTTTTCATTGCTGTCAATGTACCTGTTTCTAAAAATGGCATATTTCTTTCCATTTTTTTCTTTCCATTCTGCCATGGGAAACCAAATCTCAAGCTATAATTCATGTTGAGTTACCAAATACATGGAAGTCAAACAATATTCCAGAAAATGCTATAGAGAATAAAAGATGAGTAAGATGCCACGTCTGTCCTCTAGGACAAGTGGATGAGCACCAGAGGGGCTCTCATCTGAGAAAAATACTTATGCTTTAGTCCATGAGTTTTGCCACATCCATTGTGCCTAGGCAAAGGCTGGTTATACATGGTTCATGATTCCTGGCTGTAGTTCAGATGAGATGCAGTTACTGAGAGACAGCTTCAGAAGAGTAAGATTTTGCTGTGTGTATACACTTTTTGACACATACACACACGCATGCACACACAGGGTAAATTCCCAAATCAACAGTGTAGTAAGAGAATTATTATTATAAAGCATTCTAGATAAAGCAGCTTGATCAGGAAATCCACATCGTTATGCTGGCTTGCAATAGAAGCTAGCATTTATTAAGTGCCCATTCTAGTCAGGAACTTAGCTATGCCGTTATATATAACATCTCATTTGATTCTCACATCATCTCTCCATGAAAATAGGTGCGGAAAGCAAATTCAGAAAGTTTGACTTTGAAAAATAGACAAAACCAGGATTTGAACCCAAATTGCAGAATCCTCAGCCTACATTCTCAATCACACCATCCTTTTTTTCAGCCCTTGCAACAGAAAATCACTTGAAAGGAACTTACTCTACCACGTTGCCCTTTAAGGCCAGGTGGACAAACATTGTGGAATTATTCTTTCCTAAGTAAAGACATTCCCAGACCATGAAATCCTCACTCTGGAAGTTTCTGATTGGGGAATTAGGCCAAATACAGGTTACATCATAAGACTTTGAGTATCCCTTTATTATGAAATGCATTATTTTTATTCAACATTATGAAATGCATTATTTTTATTCAACCTATTTGTATTTTTATTCTTCATTCTTTCCTAAAGAAGAAATTAAGGCAATGATTTTAATAACTTGGGTTCTGTTACTTAACTGAAGTTTTATCATACCCAAATTAAATACATATCTCCTCCTTTCTATCCCCACAGGTACCAAATAACTATGACATATTTCTTTAGTTGAAAATACATTCATAAAAGGTGTGGGTATAAAATATCGAAGCTAATTTGTATAGAATTTTGGTCAGATTCAATAAATATTGGCTGGTTGGCAATCCCCTGATAGAGGCACAATGATATAGAAACGAGATGAGGCCCTGCCCTGCCTGGTAAAGCTTATAGCTTAATCCCAGGCTCTCCTTGGGATTAAGAAAGTCTTGCAAGGAAGTTAGAGGCAAAGAGGGAGATGAAGAGAGTTACATTCATAACCAAATTTAAATGAGTAGAAAAATATATATTTTGGCCAAGAACATTGACTACTTTATGGGGAAATTGTTTGCTGCTCAGTTAATATGACTCTTGTGGGTGCGAGAAGTAAAGGAGAACTCAGAAATGAAAGGAAAGCAGTGGTGTGGCTGCACGGTCCTCTCAGGCCAAACCCATTCTCAGAAGCTGGGATGAGTCAGGTGCGAAGAGAATGCAAGTTGCTCCAAGCCCATACCTCCTTTTTAAAACAAGGAAGGTAAAATGTTCTTAGGGTGCTAGACCCTGGCATCTTGAAAAGGAGTCATTTAACATAGTTCAAAGGCAAAGAAAGCCCTGGCCTAACCCTTCGTCTATTCCTGCTAAGATGGGGAAGATAGGGCATGAACAGGAGGCAGTAGACATGAAGGTACTAACTGATATGAGCCCAGGCAAGAAGGAAGGGCGACCAAAATGGTATGTTTGACATCGAACCCAAAGTACTTCTGGCACTAAGGCAGAAACTAAGTAGAGTTTCTCGAAAACTCAAAAACTATCTATTATTTGTCTCTCTCTCTCTAGAGAAATGGAAGCTTCCAAAAAGAGCATTCCAGAGACAGTCTCTGGCAGCCAGTGAACTATGCTCAGTAGGGCAGAGCTATGACTCTGTGTCCAAGATCACCAGCGTCTCATTTTAACGAAGAACGGATATGCAAAAAAAACCTCTGACTATCTTTGTTTTCCTTGTTATACACAGAGTTTGGAGGGAGCATATGTATACATATGCCTGCTTTCTAAGATGTTCCCATGCTCAACAAAGCTACAATGTGACACGTGCTGCAGTAGCACACATGGTGAACATGCTGCCCAGTCTAGGGGTTCAGTCTCCTTTCTTTTTTAATTTTTATTTTATGGTGAGGGGTATATGTGCAGGTTTATTACATAGGTAAATTGTGTGTCACAGGGGTTTGGTGTACAGATAATTTCATCACCCATGTGATAAGCATAGTACCTGATAGGTAGTTTTTTGGTCCTCTCCTTCCTCTCACCCTCTACCCTCAAGGAGGCTCTCAAGTCTGATATTCACACTCTATGTGTTGTTTTCTTTCTCAGCATGTGCTATAAAATGGAATTACCTATTGACAGGAGTGTTTTTTGTTTAACATCTCCCACCACATTGTAAGTTCCATGCAGGTGGAAATAATTTCTGCTTTACTAGTCGTTGAACACCCAGCTTCTAATTTAATGCCTGGCTTATAACAGGCTTTCAAAAATATTTTTGGAATAAATTAATTAAATGAGACACTGTAGGTGGCAGGGTCTATTCCAATGTCTAAATTATGTTTTTACAGGATCAACAGTGTCTGTTGTTCCCTTCTTTGAGTCCATATGTTCTCTTTGTTTAGCGCTGTCTTAGATGTGAAAAAATGCAGTATTTGGTTTTCTGTTCTTGTGTTAGTTTTCTAAGGATAATGTCCTCCAAATCCATCAATGTTGCTGAAAAGGACATGATCTTGGTTTTTTATGGCTATGTAGTATTCCATGGTGTATCTGCACCACATTTTTTTTATCTAGTCTACCCTTGGTGGGCATTTAGATTGATTGCATGTCTTTGCTATTGTGGACAGTGCTGCGACAAACATACGTGTGTATGGGTCTTTATGGTAGAATAATTTATATTCCTTTGGGTATATACCAGTCATTCTAACCAGCATGAGATGCTATCTTATTGTGGTTTTCATTTGCATTTTTATTTGTTTACTGATGTTCAGCAAACTGAACTGTGAGGCTCAACTCTGCCGCACATATTCTATCTGGCTATGGAAAAATCACTTCATAAATCTATGCTTCCATTTTTTTTTTTTTTATTTCTAGGATGAGAAGGATGGACTAGAGGCTATCTAAAATACATTATCTCATATACTTCAATTCTCGATATGAGAGCTCCCCACCCAATTTCTACAGCCCGCACCCTCAGGTCAGCAGCCGGGGGTTTTAATTCAGTTCTTGTGGCTGTGTTCACTGTGTCACCAATGGATATGAGGACCCAGTGCCAGGCTTGGTGTCATCTAAACTTACACTTCCCAAGAGACCCAGTTTATTGCTATTTCTTGTAAAGCCATTTTTGCAATTTCTATCTTAATTTGATCTCATTTCAATTAATGTTTCAAGTGTAATTTCATTAGACAATGTCAATCACTTAATAAAAATCAAGATCTACTGCAGTTATTGTTTTTCTTCCTTCTGTTTCATAATTTCCTCGTTAAAATCACCATTTGTGTGGCAAGGTTTGCCATTTGCATAGTTTTGATCCTCATTGTTTCCAAAACTGGTATCTTTTGCCCTTAAAATTGTTATCTTCACGCATGCAGATTTCCCTGCTTTCCCTTTTAAATATTATTTGGTTAAGGTGGTTATTGCCTTTGTCATGTAAAACTTTACAGAACTGTCATCTTCTGTCTTGACTTTATTTTTCCCTTCTTATTCAATTTCCCCCATTTTCCCAGAACACTTTTTTTTTTTTTGAAGTACAGAGATGTAATTGTTTCTCTTCACATTATGTGCTTGACAAAAGAATTATTTTCTGTTTTGCTACCTCCCCTCCTCCACCAGAAAATATTTTCTTTATCTTCCCAGGAGCCACCCACATCTGTGTCCACCTGAACCTGACTCTGAGCATAGGGATGTGTGATTTCCACATACCATTTACACAAACTTCCATGTGGATGCTGGAGTGGAGGGAGGTTGTAAAAAGTAATTTGGAGGTTGGAAATCACTGTAATAATCTTGTTCTTTTCTTTGATTTGTAAGCAGACACACAAGAGAAGCCTGGTACACTCTCCTCTTCTAAATGTATGCCTTGAACCTGAGGCCTCAAGGATAAATCTGAGATAGCAAGAATAAAACAAGAATAAAAGCTGTTCACCAGCTTGCCTAGAATGGCAGGGTGACCAACTCATCCTGGTGTGTCTGCAACTTTCCCAGGAGAAAGTCCTGCAACATGGGGAAACTCTCATTCCCAGGCAAACCTCTTATATGGCACAGAAACCTCCTCTTCTCTATTGGATCTGGATGACCAATGACCTCTTTCAGCTGTGTGCCTTCAGCGAAATGTTTCTTCTTTGTCTGACTAAGCAACATGACTGTCCTCAATTTGTGTATGTGTGTATATAAAGGGGGTGACTGGGAGTGGGTATGAGCAATGGGAGAGGATCAGAGGTTGGGAAGCCAGAAGAGAGAAAAAAATCCTCACGATAATCTGAGAGATATGTAAACTCACAGGGATATCTGAACTTCTCTGTCTTCATTATCGTTATGTCAGGGTCCTCTGGTCATTACCTGCCTCAGCATGGAATGCACAGAGATAAACATCTTGATCATTACATATATATATATTTAACATATATTAAATTACATATATTATATATTAATAACATATTATAGATTATAATTTATATATTTTAATATTTATATTAATAACAAAGTTTTATTTATATATATATTATATATATGACTTGGTTATTAAAAGTCCCAAGACAAGCATTTGCAGTGGAAATTCAGTAAGGGAAGATTTAACAGTCTGAGAGGTGGATGGCAAGACATGCTTCATGGGGGAGGTTGCTGCTATGTGGGTGTTATTTGGATAGACATAGAGAAGTAGGATCTAGGTGAGTCTCCTGCCTGCTTATGCATTTACTAGTTCAATAGATAGCTGTTGAGTACATATATGGCATGATAGATACTCTGTTGAGTGCACAGTGTAAGATGATGTAAAAACATAATTTAGACATTGGAATAGACCCTGCCACCTACAGTGTCTCATTTAATTAATTTAATCCAAAAATATTTTTGAATACCTGTAATGAGCCAGGCATTAAATTAGGTGCTGGGTGTTCAACTACTAGTAAAGCAGAAATTATTTCCACCTGCATGGAACTTACAGTGTGGTGGGAGATGTTAAACAAAAAACACTCCTGTCAATAGGTAATTCCATTTTATAGCACATGCTGAGAAATAAAACAACATATAGAGTGATGAATATCAGACTTGAGGGCACATGATTTCCTTCGGGAATTCAGCAGAGGCTCTCTCTGGGGAAAAGACGCTTGAGCTGAGACCTGAGTGATTAAGAAGAGGCAATTAGATGTCAGAGTGAAGAACATCCCAGGAGGTTGTCACAGACCATGTGGTGGCCCCAACACAGAAATGAATGTGATGTGACAGGGATCTGGCCAAAGATTATTGAGCAAAGGGAAAGTGGTTCAGGGTGGAGTGGGAAGGGTGGGCAGGAGCACATCATGCTGGGTGCTGTGGCTCATGATAAGGGATCTGGATTTTATTCAAAGTGTAATCTATTTTCAAAAAAATAAACTTTTATTTTAGAGCAGTTTTAGATTTAGAGAATTATTGAGAAGATAGTACAGAGTTTCCATATCCCCCACATCCAGTTTCCCTGTTATTTATATCTTACATTAGTACAGTCCATTTGTCACAATTAATAAATCAATATGAATACATTACTACTCACTAAAGTCCACACTTTATTTAGATTTCCTCAGTTTTCTCCTAATGTCCTTTTTCTCTTTTATTATCCCACTAAGGATGCCACATTAGAATTAGTCATCGTGTCTCATTAGGCTCTCTTCATTGTGACCTCCTCAGATTTTCCTTGTTTTTTTATAACCTTAAAAGTTTTGAGGATTGCTGGTTAGATATTTTTTAAAATGTCCCCCAGTTTGGGATTTGTCTGATGTTTTTCTTATGATTGGACCGGGGTCACGGGTCATTGTGAGGAACACACAGAAGCAAAGTGTCCTTCTCATAATGTCATGTCAAGGGTACATATTATCAATATGACTTATCACTGTGCATATTGACCTTGATCATCCAGCTTGAGGAACTATTTGTCAGGTCTTCCTACTGTAAAATTATTCTTTTTTCCCTTGGCATACTGTTTAGGGGGAAGTTCCTATGGGCAGCCCACATTTAAGGAGTGGAAAGTTAACCTCTACCCCCTTAAACACAGAAGATGTACATAAATTATTTGGGATTGTTATGTATGGAAGATTTGTCTACCCTTTCTCATTTATTTATATATTCAATTATTTATTTATATCAGCATGAATTAATGGATATTCATTTTATACTTTGGGTTATGATTAAACACTATTTTATTTGTTTTGTTGCTCGGTTGCTCAAGCTCTGGCCATTGAGGGCTCCTTCACTTGGTTCTTACGTCTCTTTGACATGCCCCTGACTGTGCGATTCATTTGTTGGTTTTTGAGCATTTTGTTACTTTCTGGCGCTACAAGATTTTCTAGTTTTAGCTTACGTATTTTCTGCCCCAGTCCTAGAATCCATTATTTCTTCAAGAAACCCTGTTTCTTTTTGTTGGAGAATGGTGTTAGAAACCAAGATCTGGGTTGCAGATATACCCATTGTGTTGTTGCTTCAGACCTGCTTCAGCTAACACAGCAGAGTCACATGTGTGTGCCTGCTAACCTGTGTTACATAGACATGTGTTTAGATATAAACACAGATCGATACATATTTCCATATGTGATTATTTGTGTCTATATTAAGCTAAACATGAGTTTATACTGATGTCTCCAACTCTAATCCACTGCCCATGGATCTACCCACATGAAACTTATAATGTGATGAGAGAGACAGAGAGAGATGATCTTAGGTTGGTGCAAAGGTAATTGCTGTTTTTGCCATAACTTTTGCACCAACCTAATAAATAAACACTCTGATAAATAGATAATTCCAACTCTAATCCATGACCCATGGACTATTCTAACCTTCTACTCTTGCTTGTCTGTAACCTTGCACTGTAACAGTGAGAATCAGTCTCCCACTATTCACCATTCATTCAACTAATTGTTGAATTCCATATACTTGTATATGGTTTCGGAGTTGTTAACCCATAGCCCCATGGAAACAACTTATTATCTACAGTATGGTGATTTCTTCCTTTTGCCTGTAGTCTTATAGACTCCACTAATTTCCAAAGTTACTTAGGTCAGTACTTCATTTCCACATCCCTTTAGGGTGGTTGTTTCTTACATTTGCAATACATTTATATTATTTTTTATAATATTCTGCATTTCATCCTGAAATCCTCTGATCTTCTACATAATGTTTACAAATGTATATACATTAAAATTTTTATTTGTTCTATAAAGTTCTGTAGGTTTTAACAAATGCTTAATGTCTGGTATTCACTGCAAGAGTATCATGCAAAAGAGTTTCATGCCCTAAAGCATCTTCTGTGCCTCACCTATCCAACCCTGCCTTTGCCCCCACACTCTTAAATAATCTGGGTTATCATTAATCTCTTTATTACCTTTACTGTTCTGTCTTCTCTAGGGTGTCATATAATCAAAATTCTATGCTATACAGCTTTTTCAAATGGTTTCTTTTACTTAGCAATATGCACTGAAGATTTATCCATATCTTTTCCTGGCTTGAGAGCCCATCTCTTTTTATTCCTGAATAATATCCCATTTTCTGGATGTGCCACAGTTTATTTATCCATTTGTCCACTGAAGTACATCTTGGTTGCTTCCTGGTTTTGGTGAGTATAAAGAAACCTGCTATAAATATTTGTACACAGCTTTTTGTGTAGAAATTGGCTTTCAAATCTGTCAGGCAAATACCTAGGAACATATATACTTGATGGTATGGTAAGACTATGTTTACTTTTATAAGAAACTATAAAGCTGTCTTCCAAAATGTCTGTTTTATTTTGTCTTTCCACCAGCAATAAAGGAGAGTTCTGTTGCTCTGCATCCTTCTTAGCAGTTGGTGTTGTCACCTGTTTCAATTCTAGTCATTCAAATGAATGTGTAGTAGGGTTTTTATTAAAGAAAAAATACATGCACAATTGTCAATTGCCCAGTGAGTCTTTGCTCAACATGTTTTACAGAATGAAGACTTAGAAGACTTTATATGTGCAGCCATGGATATAGTATAGACCCTGAACTTTTGTCTAAACTTGAGGAAGCCATTTCTAGGATTGGGCTAGGCCCCCTACATAAACTGGAAAAATCCAGCTTCTTTTCCTTCAATCAACCCAGACCAGAGATTAAAAACTCAAATGCCTAATAAAACCAGGAAGGTATATTCTTTAGTGAAGTGGGCTGTGTAGAAAACAACAGCAGGGCAGACTGGGAGGAGCGAGTCTTGTCCATTTGGAACCACTTCTGTGTTTCAATTGCTGGTTTACACAGGGAATCAGACATAGTGTGAGCAAATATAATTTTTCAAGGGACTCTGGGAATCTGAGTTTTATGCAAAATCTTCTGATTTTTAAATGTAGGCAGCTAATTAAAATCCTCTTCAGGACAAACAAAACATAGAGGCTCAAACCTTTAGGCTGACAACACCAATTTAAACCTTTATATATAAAGAGTGGTTTATTCATGAAGGCATTTTGTAAAGGTTTTTAATCCAGAAAATTTCATGAGCTGAATTATGTTCCAAAAACCCTGTTAAAATAGTGTTGGAGAGATGCAAGAGAGGTCAGTTAGAAAAACATTTTAGTGATACAGGCAGATTATGCTGCTTGGACTAGAGTGTTGCAGTACAGATGGACAGAATTGGACAATTTGTGAAAGATGTGAGAAGTAGATTTTATTTCTACTGATGAGTTGGATAAGGATAGGTTGGGGTAAAGGAGGACCATGGATCAAAGCTGACTACCATGTTTCTACAATGAACTAGGGAGATATGGTGTTTACTGAGACAGAATAAACTGGCAAAGGAGCAAGAAAAAATGTTATTGAGATGAAAGGAAGAAGAAGGTATGTGGTATTATTATCTCTACTTCATGGTTAAGGAAACTGAGACCTTGAGAAGTTAAGTAATTTGCCCCAAATCACACAGAAAATATCTTGTAGATCTAGAAATCAGACCCAGGACTTCTGATTCTCAATTCAAAACTACCTAATTGTCCCTAATGTGTTTCATTGTTTTTAACCTAACATGGATTTGAACAAGAGAAGCCTAATCATTTTTAGGTACCAGATTTGGTAGAAAGGCTGGTACTTCACTGACCATTATATTATAATAATGCAGCTCTGATGGACTCTAACCCAGAGGAGGGATGAAGAATCACAAGTATTGATTGGGTAAAAAATTACAATTTTGTAAACCTGCTATTATGCTATGAGGAAGGATAGGAAAGAGACTGAGGAAAATGATAAGACAATTGTACAGGGTATTAAACTACTAGTGCAAGACAACCGCAAGTCATGTTTTGATTTATCTTCTTTAATAAACACCTGAGAAGTTTGTGAGATCAACATCAGGTTTCTTCTGTGCAGTATGGCTTCTACATTTCTAAATTATAACCAGAAAACTGGTCGTATGAGGAATACAGGGACAGAGAGAAACAAAGATGTGCTATTTGGAGAAAGTGAGCAGGAGCAGAACCCTTATCTGAGAAGCAGCTTCTCATCTGGTGTCTCTTCTGGGAATCTGTAGCAAGCATGTTTCTCTAAGGTGAGAGCCTCAGCCCTCAGAGAGAATCTCTCTGCCCCTAAGATGGGAAGGAATGCTGATAACCAGATAATAGGTGGGTATAAGGGCTGATTTGAGTCTTTGTTGGATATTTCTATTCAATAAAGAAAAGGGGAGTTTTTCAATAACAGAAGTGGAGGCAGACTATATTCTTTGCTCAGAAAAATATCTTGATTAGCTATTTGAAGGTAGGGGATGACACTGTAAACCCATGGATTGGTTGGTGTCCAGAAATTAGGAGAGAGATAGTTGTGTCACTTTGCTTAGGAAATGAATAGAAATGTGTGCCTGCAGCCTACCAAGGAAGTGACAGAGAGGAAGACAGGGGGAAAGAGGGGGAGCTGGTGCTTAAAATGATAGACTCTTAAAAGAGAGGAATATCTAATATTTAAAGTTTTTATTATTATGATCATATAAACCAACACCTCTGCATTCCGATTCTTACATTTATGGTAAACTCTGCTACACAACTGTATCAGTTTTCTGGGGCTGCCATAACAAAGTACCACAAAATGGGTGGGTTAAACAACAGAGATGTAGTGTCTCACAGTTCTGGAGGCCAGAAGTCTGAAATCAAGGTGTTGGTAGAGTTGGCTCCTTCACAGAGCTCTGAGGGAAAATCTGTTCCCGGCCTCAATCCTGGCTTCTGGTAGCCTCAGGCATTCTTTGGCTTGGAGAGAGTGACCTCCCTATGTCTTCACATGTCTTCCTTCTATGTATGCTTGTCCCTGTGTCCATTTTTTTCCTTTTTATGAAGACACAGTCATATGAGATCAGGGCCTATTCTAATGATCTCATCTTAACTGGATCATCTGCAAAGACCCTTTCCCAAATGTCATATTCGCAGGTACAAGAGGTTAAGACTGCAACATCTTTTCGATTGACACAATTCAACCCATAATAACAACAAATATCTGTTTTGATTCTTTATTCTATTTATTTAAGTTTTATTGAAGTAGCATGAGGACATTGTGGATCCAAGGAAATGGGATGCATTCTCTGCCAGAGGCAACATGTTGAGCAACAAGGATAGCACTTGAGGGATGATGGTAAATAAAAAAAGAAAACAAACAAACAAACTCAACTAGTATTAGGGAAATTGTACCTCAAAACAAGAAATGAATTATAATCCAATTTTTTTCTTTCCCCACAAAGTTTCTTACCAAACAATAATTGGATTTGAGCCTATTTTGTAAGCTAAAGCACATCAAAGAACATTTGGGTCATAGCTTTTGTCACTTTGAGCTTCTACTTTCATATAGTATCCAGCTCAACTTGACATAAATTCTTATCCTAGGACTGAGTCAGGACACGCTCTTGAAATGGCTGCCAAAGAGTTTCATGGTAGAGAGGAAGACAAATTAACTAGCTTTGGCTTGTCCTCAGAATACCTTCCCAAAGTCAGAAGGAATTTATGAAACAAATCTGAGATTATGTTTATGGTATTAGTCTCTCTCTCTCTCTCTCTCTCTCTCTCCGTATTTTAGATAGAAAGTCAGCCGTATGCAGTACCTTGTGAACATTTTGGCTCAAGAAAACCTCTAGCAAAGTAAGCATGAAAGAATCTTGGAAACCAGAATCTCTGTACCCTTTACTTTCTTTGCATTTAGTGTCCCCCTAAGAGGGCTTAGGAGGTCCATGGAAAATGTGCTTGCCATTGGTCAAATCACTGAACAAGAATGTTCAGGTGATTGGGCTGACACTAGGAGGCATGTGATTAACAAATTTGGAAGATGCCATAGGCAATGTAAAAGAGAGAATATTCATGGGCACTGGAGAGGATTGTGAATTGTGAATAGACACTATACTATGGAGATGCTTCAATGCTACAAGGTCCTTCAGGCAGAAAAAGAAATCCAACTGATAAGAAATCTATGAGGCTTCAGTATGTATATGCTCCATCTGCAACTTTGAAATATCAAGTATCTCCCTCAATGGCTGTGTGTTACCACCATTGAAGTCAGAAATACCGATAGGATCTACTTAGATACTGTAGAAAGAAGGTTGCCAGTATATATAGAATTATTTTCATATCAACTTAAAAAGAAAAACCATGAACCAATTCATTTGAAGACCGCTGGATATATTTTAAAAGTAGAAATTCATCTAATAGATGATTGAAGTGAGCAGTTACAATTATTTGTGGTACTGTTTTGCTACAAAACTTGAACTGCTGTGTAGAGTTAGGAAACTTCTCCAGTTCCCTGGTTAGAAGGTTAATTTTAGATGAAGTGGAGAAGGTGTTGTCTACTCCTAGGGATTAACATGGAACAAAACATGAGCACTGAAAGCTCCAGTTCATATTGGGGAAGAAAAGAGGTTGATATGGGTATGATTTGGCCACCTGAGGTTGAGCTCCTGACAGTTAAGGACTTGGGGAGTAGAGGCGAAGATGCTTTCCACTTCTAGTTTTGAGAGAGGGGTCCTTAGAACGTGATTGGTGACAACACTCATGAAGTGCCCTTTGTCCACGGACCTGTGGAATGTATGCCAGTAATGGCCGAGTAGGTTGTTTCACTGGTGGCCAGGGTAAACACAGTCATGGAAGAAAGCATTGCTCAGGTCTGAATGGGGAGTACCTATGGGGCAGAGTCCTTGAACTCTGATGAGAAAAAATACAGTTTTCTTTGACTATAGGGAACGATAATGGATATTTCTTAAGAAACTTAGCTTGTGCTGAGAAAGTGGCTTGAATTGTGTGGAAACTAAGGCTTGGGAAGGCCAAGACTATGGGAGCAGCCTGGAGGGATGAACCATCTATTTTCCTGTCAGTTAATAAGCTCAGTTTCTAGAGCTTCCCCTTCCTTTTCTGGAGGTAAAGACCTAAGAGAGAGTGAAGTGGACAGGCTACCAAACCACGATAACACTTCTGCAGAGTCCTGATACGTAAGCAACAATAACGAAGGGGACCTTGGTGGGGGAGAACAATTGTTCCAAGAGATGGCTAAGCACAGACAATGCTCTGGCACAACATCCTGTTTCCTAATACGTTGCTTTGCATATAGCACCAGCAGCATGATCTTGTTTTGCACGTAGCTTCCTCTAGCATGACCCTATAAAACTTCCTTCCAGCCCTTGCCTCTTTTCAGATAGCTCCTTCTCTGCTATGCTGCTGTTGCACCCTTGCACCATATCTTCATACTTTCTTGAATAAATCTGCCTTTCTTTACCTGTGACTGTCTTGGTCACGATGTCAGCCTCAGCCAGTCACACCTGTGACAACTACTTCTTTGGGTTTGGAGGTCAAAGTTCCAGAGGAGGGTCCTGACTCCAAGGGGAGCAAGAAATGCTGAAAGACAAGATGTGAGATGAACCCACTCTTCTGGATAAACAAAAGGTTTGGAAACCTTCCATGGTATGGAAGAGCCCCACTGTGGAAGTTATCCGACTGCAGTGGAGGATGAGTAACCATGCAGAGCTGGGAAGAAATATTTCCGGCATTTCTAAGAAAAAGGGGATGGTCAAAATAGGAATGTAGGACAGCCAACAGCCAAATGAGTGGCAAAATTCCCAATACTTCCAGATGTTATTTCAAATATGGGAATGTTTGAATAGCCAATTAGTTCAGAGAAGACTGTGCAGGCTTAGAGGAAACCCAGACTCCTTAGAGATATTGGGAAGAGATGGGGCGCCAATCCCAATTCCGTGGGAAATGATGTCTGGGCCCATTTTATTTAAAGTAGAAAGGACAGCGTACCTCAACTGAAAGCTAGACTATATATGTATAGAATGTTCACATGCTTGCCATGTTTTAGCTTAGTACTGGGCTGGAGGGAGGCCAGACAGGGAAGCATAAGAACAGGGAGAAGGACCCAATACCCTACAGTGTTTCACCACCAGGGTGCTGGGGAGCTCAGTTTGGGAAACAAGGCACCTCATCTCTCTCCAGGAGAAGCAGTATGCTACAATGGGAAGAGCTCAGGCCATGCATGATCGGACAGTCTTGAGTTTGAATCCTATCCCTGCCAGGCCTGTTATGTGACCGAATCTAGTATCTGAGTCTTCTTTTCCTCATCTGTAAAATACTTAAATGATTCTTGTCAAGGTTATCAAGAATCTGTGTAAAGCTCATAGCAGGTGTTCAGCTCTGGCTTATTGTTATTCCACCGTGTCTAGCAGGGTGCCTTGCACATACTAGGAGCTTAGTATGATTTTGCAATAATAACATATTGTAGTCTTGAGCAAGACACATTTACCCTTCAGCATGTACTTGCCTTGACTTGTTCCTGATGTCTAGTCCAGGTATTACAATCCTCACATTTCCTGTCATTTCCTCCAGTCTCCTCTTAGGGTTGGAAAGTGTCATGGTTGAGGGAGCAGGACCCAGCATTAGTCTGCCTAGATTTGATTTCTGGCTCTTCCACTTACAGCCTATATGGCTTTGGTAGGTTTCTTTACCTCTTTTTGTCTCATTTTCCATATCTATACAATACAGATTATAACAATCCTGAATCCTCTGAGAGGATCAAATGGATATATGTGTGAAGCACTTAGAAGAATGGTAAATGCTCAATAAATGTTATTTATTGTTGCTATGGACTTGCTTCAAACACGATTCAGCCAAGAGACACAATTTCTCTGACTTCAAAGCAGAGGAGTGCTAGAGAGGGGATGAACATGTGCATCCCCTCCCACACTGTGCTTAAAAAGGTACTAGACTGATTCGAAACTGCCTCCTACTTACAGAGCTGTAGGGTGTACTGATTACTGGAACTGCTCAGGGCCTGATGGTGACCAAACCGTAGTGGCTCATGGTAAACCATGTACTCCAGTTATTGTTCATGTGTGAAGAGCATCTCACAGGCCATGCAGTCCAGGGCTGCATTCATAGAATGATCATTTATTCATTCACTCATTCAACAAATATTTATTGAGCACTGAACTTGCTAGGCAGCAAGTGTGTAGTGATCAGCTTGAGAAGATATATTAGGGGAGGGTAGGAGCCAGTGAGAAGGGAGAGGGTTTTGCTGATGCCCTTGTTCGTACAATAGCAGTGAGTGGAGTAGAGGTGATTATACGAAATGCAGCATCCTGGAAAATCCACATGCAGATTCACAAGAGAATTCTGGGAGGCTGAGTTTCTGCCTGGCTGGGGGTCAGGGGTGAATCACTGGTAATGTTTCCCGAGGATTGCTTCCTTCTCACACAAGCCACTTTGTCTTCTGTTTTATTAAAGATGGGACATATGCCAGGAGGGGAAGTGAGGTTTAAGTACAGCTCAGAATAGAAAGTGGGATCGATACTTGGCTGAAGGCCGCTCTGGCTGCTCTTCATTTGGGCATCACTCTAACTGGCTGGGCTTCCATCCTGCCAGGGTGGTCTCAAGGTTACTGCTCTGTTTCATCACTTGTTTATGATGTGAGTGTGCAATGGAAGAATTGGGTGCATGCACTCCTTCCATCCCACCCCTTCACACTTTGGCCCTCTTCAATTAAAGCTTTTAGTATTCTTTCTTTCTTTTCTTTTTTTTTTTAAATCTGTTTTGAAATGTAGATTTTCCAAGAAAAGGAAGCCAAACCTGTAATTTTATACCTGTATGTAAAATTTGCTAACTTTGTGATGAATGAAGTCTTCTCACACTCACTTTTTATTTGTCCTTATCACAACCTATATGGCTAGTAGGAATTGGCATCCATTCCCCATGGAGCACTTCTGTGTTGCAGCCTTATGCTGGGTAGAAACATTCTGGTACCATCCCAAAACACAGTACTCAGAAATGAAGTCCCAAAAAGTAGGAGAGTCATGCCTTGAAATCACATTTCTTGCTTTCTACTCCAGTTTTCTTACCACCACTCCAAGCACTTGCTAGAATTTTGTTGAAGACAGTAGAGAGATAGATGCGTACCTGCACTGTAACTATTGATTATGGGCCCAGTAAGAACACAGTGCTCTGAAGAGGGCTATCCAGTCTTATGAAACATCTGTGTTGCCTCCTCACTTTAATGCATCCCTCTCAGACTCCTTCTTTATCATTACAGGACAAATGGTGGAGCTTCCCTTTCTCTTCCTGCCTAAGGATTATCCATCATCTTATTTTTCTCAGCTCAATCACTCTTAGCTCATTATCCTCCGTTATTGATTCTTCTGTATCTATATCAATTAACTCTTCTCTCTCTCCTCTACATACAATCACATCCTCTCTTAGGGCCTATTATCACCTGCACTTAAACTTATACAGATCTCTCCTACCTTAAAAGTTTTCCCACCGAGATGCCCTCCATCCCTTCATCTCTCTCTTTCCTCCCCTCTGCAGCCAAGCTTCTTATAGAAACTATACTTACTTCCTCAGTGACTGACTACTTATCTCTCTGCAGGCTGAATTTGATCCCTGATATTTTGGTTCAAGTGGCTTTTTTGAGATCACCACTGACCCCTGTGTTGGGGAATTCAGTGGATGCTTTCTAGTCCTCATATTATCTGATCTCTCCTCAGCATCTGACTGTGAACTGCACCTTTCTTTGTCACATCTCTGCAGATTATGTATCTTCCAATCCTCATACAGTACTTCATGTATGTTTATTGAATGAAGAGATCATTATTGAATGCCAACTATGTGCCAGGTACTATTCTTAGAACCGGGCATTTTTACCGTATTTCAGTACCTTGGTCTTTGATAACAAGTTAAGTGTGTTTGTGGGTATACTTATGCAAGTTTAAAAAGAAATACATGCTGGGCAATATGATAAAACCAGGATTTGGTTGTCTGGTTTTTTTATTATAAAAGCTGCACACCTACATATTGGCCATGGGAAGCTTCCATGTCCCTTTTTTTTTTTTTTTTTGAGATGGAGTCTTGCTCTGTTGCCAGACTGGAGTGCAGTGGCATGATCTTGGCTCACTGCAACCTCTGCCTCCCGGGTTAAAGCAATTCTCCTGCCTCAGCCTCCCAAGGAGCTAGGACTACAGGTGCACATCACCACACCTGGCTAATTTTTTGTATTTTAGAAGAGACAGGGTTTCTCCATGTTGCCCAGGCTGGTCGTGAACTCCTGAGCTCAGGCAATCCACCCTCCTCGGCCTACCAAAGTGCTGGGATTATAGGTGTGAGACACTGCGTCCGGCCCCATGTCCCTTTTTATAAGAACAACATAGAGTCTACTTAATCATCAAATAGAAGATGTCACACCCTTTAGACATCTCTCTATGTTTCTCAGTTGAAGATTCATCAGCCCACTAAAATGACTTGGTATTGAAATGGGAACTGTCACTAACGCATCCCAGATTATCAGAAGAAGAACATTTAGACCAGAAAATAATTGAAAGATTTGGAGCACCAAAATTTCCCATTATTTGGGAGAAAATGGGACATTTAGGGAAATTATCTATTTATAAAGAAACATACGGTTGTATGTTTACAATTTAAAACAGTTGTAAACTTGTACAAATGCTCCTCAACTTACCATGGAGTTACTTCCTGATAAATCTATATGTTGAAAATATTGTTAAGTTGAAAATGGATATTTTGTAGACATGATGGGACGCAAAAACAGAAAACGCAGTATCCAAAAAATGCTGGCAACACAGTACAGTGTTAAGTATTGGTAACTGTGGTGGTGACTGTGTGGCTGACAGGGTGCTGCAGATTGCTGCCACTGCCCAGCATCACCAGAGAGTTATTTTCTGCATGGAAACTGGAAAAGATCAAAACCAGAAACTCAAAGTTTTATTTCCACTGAATGCATATTGCTTTTGCACCATCATGAAGTTGAAAAATCATAAGTTGAATCATCATAAGTCGACGACTGTATTGCAAATTCAAGAGCAGTTAATAAAACCTGTACCAATTCTCACATTGAGAATTCAGCTGCTGAAAGACACATCAGTGAGGACAGACCAACTCAGCTATCAGCAACTACCTTCAGCACCCAACTGCCTGAATCATAAACTCAGCAGTAAGTGTTTGATTAAGCCCTCCAAGTGACTCTGATGCACATTACAGGCTGAGAAACAGACGACTAGGGAAACGTAGTAAAATTATTAGGCCATCATTAGGCTAAAAGTATTAGACTATATTATTAGGCTACTATTTTATTGATGTAACAAAATTATTATTATCCAGCTCTAAGAGTCTACTTGAGGTTAGAATTCATAAATTTAAAATGAGTTCAGTCAGCATGATTTGGAGTTTTTCTCCTGTTAACACCTCAATTTAAGGACTTCAACTTCCAGAATTGTAAGATAATACATTTATCTTATTTTGAGCCTCTAAGTTTGTGGTTATTTGTTATAGCAGCACGAAGAAACTAATACACACTCCCTCCAGGAACCAATATGCATGTCCCTCAATCCCCTCACTTTCTTTCTTCCTCCAACCACAGTGTGGCACAGAGGATCTTACAGAGACCCCCAAGGCCCTACAGGAAGATGGGGTCACCAGCTGGCAGCAGCCTGGGTCCCAGAATCACTATTTAGCAAAACACCTGTATTGAACTATATGTGAGAGAGAAATAAAGTCTACCTTGTTAAAACTCTGAGATTTGGGAGCGTATGTGAGAACAGCTGGCCAACCCTAATGAGATTGATCCTAATAGTGGTGAAACAGTGAGTAGTGGAGTGAAAGTGGTAAGTGGTAAGATGGCCTCATCACAAGTGTATAGAATGCTATAGCTCTTCCTTGGATTGTGCCAATGGACGCTGCAGGAAAATCAGTAATACTTACATATAATAACTACAGTCTGGTTAAGGACTATGACAACATCAAAGGCAAGTAAGTAGCACATATATTAATGAGGTTATTTTGTAGTTCTACTGTGAATGATAATTGTTTGTACCTTAAGACTTCATGCCTTGATCAGGTGTAAGATATGTGAAAACAGTCATTCTCAACTCCCTGATGAGGGTCATATAATTTCTCCTCTAAGTCTTTACTTGGGATACTAATGATGGTAAGAAAGACAAAAGATTGAAGTTAAACAAATCAAGTGAGCACAGCTGACAAGTGGATAAGTGCTAATCAATGAATGTACAGATTGTCTTTCCTGTCAGATCTATCTTTAGACTTGATTACTATTAGATCACCCAGAGACACACCACCCATCTGCACCAAGTTGCATTCTATCTTCTTTCAAATTTCCAAATTTCTGTTTAACCACTACAGTAATTGCCCCTTTGTCCTCACATATGCATTGACTGCAGCAATTGATACATCAAAAATCCTTGAAAACAGTGCCATAGAAATGGAAAAACAAATTTCATATTTGGAATATTTGAGATGGTGATAAGGAACAGAATCTATGACAATGAGGAAAATCTCTGAGATACATGTTGAAGTCAGTCATTTACATCTAGGCTATAAATAAACAAGAGAACATTAAATTCTCAAAAATAATTATCCAATGATAGCCTAGATTAAATAAACAAGTGGTAGTGATAATGAGTACACTTTAATCCTCAATTTTGTTTTGCGAGTTGAAAAGATTAATGATTGGTGTTTAAATGGAGATAGTGTCATTTTATTCTTATGCATAATATAGATTTTTAAAATCTAAATAAGAAAAATTTTGTAGAATGAAGCATCCTGGGGTCATTGGCAAAGAACTTTGGGAAGACTAGGATGAAACTTAATAGTGAAGGTATAATAAGTAATTCCAGAATTTGATTGTTGAACCAAACTTGGAATATTTTTTTAAAAGTGACATTTCTTAATCACCTCCACATCTTCAGCATCAGTCACAGCACCTAAAACAAGTTTTTAACAAATACATTTATTTTAATGAACAAAATGTATGATCATTTTATTTATAGCACTTGGCAATATGGGTTTTTATTCCATTAGAATGAAAAGTCAGTCCCATGCCAAAAAAAAAAGAAAATTAAGAGCAATACATCCAATGAAGGTCAGTCACTTGCAGAATTGCCCAATTCATCACAATTTTGAAAGTGGCTGACAAAATGCAGCTAGTCAGTCATCATTACACAAAGATACACAACTGAATGGGAATAGTACATGCCATGCCCTTATCAAGATACCAAGTTATGTCGTATACACTCTAATTTGTATTTTCCTCTTGTTCCTGTATTAGCTGAGACATTGGAAAGAATATTCATTATCAGCTGTGGACAGCTAAGGAAAAAGTTATTGATTTTCAAAAGCATTTTGAACGTGACAAAATTACATGGCCAAAGCTTGCTGTGATTAGCAATAAATCAAAGAGGCAATTTTTCTTTTTTCATAGTGATGACACATGTCCACATTCAGCAGTTGAATCTGTAATAACTCTAAGTTCATTAATTTAACAGAGTCCCCCCGGGACCCACACCTTGCAGAGATGTAATCACATTTATTCCACTCTTACAATGTCACCTGCCTACTCAAGAATCCCTGATAGCTTCCTCTGGCCTGCTATATTTTTTTGGTTTGTATGATCCGAAATGTCTTGCTCCTCCAAAAATTTGCATGTTGAGCCCCACACTTCCAGTACTTCAGAATGCAACTGTATTTGAAATAGGGTCTTAGAATTGACTACGTTAAAATGAGCCCATTTAGGATGTGCCGTAATCCAACCTCACCAGTGTCTTCACGAAGAGGAAACTTTGGACACCCAAGGAAACACCAGGGATGCAAACACAGAGAGGAAACACCATGTAAGGACACAGTGAGGTGACCCTCTGCAAGCTAAGGAGAGGCCTCAGAAGGAACCAATCATGCCGACACCTTGATCTTGGACTTTCAGCCTTTAGAACTGTGAGAAAATAAATTTCTATTGTTTAAGCCTCCCAGTCTGTAGTATTTTGTGATGGCAGTCCCAGAAAACTAATGCATATCAAGTCCAAACTCCCCTTTCGGGAATTAAAAATCTTCCCTCAGGCAACTTTTTTGATCCAACTTTCCATTACTCATCAACTGAGCACTCAGATCCCACCCTCATGCCCTCTGCATGCTGTGTAATTTTCTCTTTAGCATTCACCTTCAATGCTTTCTCCAGGGATGCTCTCTCCCCTCTTTTGTTATCCATAAAGCCCAATGCAGGGCCACCATGAAGTCTACTCTAGTCCAGCCCAGACTCCTCTCTCCCAATTCCTAACATTTACCTGGTGCTACTAGATTGAAAATTGAATTGTTCCTAAGATCCCAAAAAGCTCATTTCTAATGAGAAGTCTTAAGGCAATATCATCAGTGCCTAAACTAGAGCTGAGCATAGAGAAGCACTACAAAAACATTGGTTGAATCAATGAACTATTTATAAAGGACTTTATTATTTTCTTATTTTTTACATGATAATCTTTATATTCCTTACGCTTTTAGTCAAGAAGTAGTTAATAAGCTTCTGATGTGTTCCTTGTTATGTACTAGGCAGAATACAGGGATAAATGGTATAAATGCCATCCTCAGGGAGCTTATGGTCTGGTACAGACTGCAGATAAGTCAACATTAATTGGGGCTAAATACTGTCTTCTCTTATTTCCTGCATAATTTCTTTTCATAACTTCGATTACAGGGTGAAGTGCCTAGGCAATCTATAAACCCTTGCTAAATGTTTGAGGAGGAAAAGAGCTAATATGAACTGGAGCTACATTCTCCAGCCAGACTGTAGCTCTTCTTCAGCCAAGCCCCTGGGAAGCTCACCACAGCTCTTTTCTGCTCCTGGAAATCTCTATACCATGTTACATGAGGGAGGATCTGAGGAACTGACCTTCAAGTCTTGATAGTTCTTTTGAAAGAACAGTCAAGCTTCTTCTGTCTATAAAAAGAGATAAACCGGACAGAGATAGGGTGACTATACTTCCTAGGTAGCCCATGTAAGTTCCAGTCTAAGCCAAACGTCTCAATGTAACTATGAATAGTGCCCCTTTCACTACTGTTTAGTGAGTGTTCTGTTTAAGTAACACAAGCATTCTATTTAAGTAACAAATTATGTGGTTGACCTAGGCAGCGACAACTTATCTTGAGGAAGGCTATGAGACCAAGAATGGCTTTTTAAACATTTTCAAGTAGTCAGGATCATTTTATCTGTTCTACTTGTACTGACTTGAGAGAATATGGCAGATCTTCTTGGGCTCTTTCATTTTATTTTATTTTTTTTAATTTTTGAAATGGAGTTTCACTCTTGTTTCCCAGGCTGGAGTACAATGGCATGATCTCGGCTCACTGCAACCTCCGCCTACCGGGTTCAAGAGATTCTCCTGCCTCAGCCTCCTGAGTAGTTGGGATTACAGGCACACACCCCTATGCCTGGCTAATTTTTTATATTTTTAGTAGAGATGGGGTTTCACCATTTTGGCCAGGCTGGTCTTGAACTCCTGACCTCAGGTGATCCACCAGCCTTGGCGTCCCAAAGTGCTAGGATTACAGGCGTGAGCTACTGCACCCAACCCTCTTGGACTCTTTTAGAGGCCACACTGCCATGGTCTCTCTTTGGCCATTGCCAGGCCTAGTTCCAGAGCCTTCTTCCATATCAGTTCTTCCAGCCCCTTGGCGGACTCGCAGGTGTCTCGCCACTTCCCTTCTTATTCTACTTCCCCCTGACCCACGTCCAGCCCCTGGGCTTATACCTACCCTCCAAGTCTGACTGTCATTCTGAGCCTATTGGGCCCACCTGCATTCTTGGACGCCATCCATTTTCCTCAGTGAGGTCCAGGCATCCCCTAAAGGCATACATTCATTGATTCATTCAGCAAATAGACAGTAAGCTTGTGTACTGCATATGAGGCCCTGTCCTCAGGCACACAAGTAAGGATAACCGGGGTGTCAGCTCTCATGACATGAGCACCCTGACAGTCCAGGCCATACAACGAACAGGACTATTAAATTCAACTCTCTCAGCAAGCCTACGAGTAGGCATTGAGCTTCACTGTTGCACAGATGAAGAAATTCAAAGTCAAAGAGGTTTCCTCACCTGCCCAGGAGCTCTCAGAGAGGAAGTGACCGAGCTCAGTGCATGCATAGGTCTGTGCAGATCAGCCCCATTACCCTGAATCTCTCTCCTCCGATTCTGCTCTGAGGGAAGTACAAGTGTTCTGGCAGCCTGGAGGAGCGGTTTTCCAGTGGAGCCACTTTGGCACTAGGGCCTGGGTGACATGGGGTAGCAGTTTTGACTCAGAAATCAATTAAGGGCGGTGCAGAAGTTAAGAAAGGGCCTCAAAGGGCCTTATTTTCTTTAAGACTAGCTGTAGGCCTCCAAAATGAAAGCAGAGTAAGGTTGCCAGATAAAATACCAGATGTACAGTTATATTTGTTTCAAATAAGCAATGAATAATTTTAGAAATTTCATATATGTGTGTATATAAATATATTTTATGTACTTTTTTTTCCTCAATCTGGCAACCTTAATTTCAGTGCACTTCTGGATGTCTATTTAGCTACACCCCTCAGGTCATGAAGTAGAAGGGACCCATGCATCACCCCACCTGGAATAAAGTATGCATTTGCTGCAGTGTTGTTCCTCTGTTATTTCCAAGGAACCTGGGGTTTGGGGACAGGAGAGGAAGCTGACAGGCTATAGAGGGACCAGAGGGCACTAACTCAGCTGACTTTCCAGCCTGAAATGTGCTTCCCTCCCCTATTTAATCCCATATTTAAAAAGCAAATTTCCAAGGTAAACTCAAATGCATTAATACCTGCTTATTAATTAATTTCTGCTTAGACAGATTTAACACACAAATCCCAATGTGGGCCAAAACCAGATAATCCCACAAAGCACATTAAGTATGACCTTGTTTCCAATGTAGCAACTCCTTAAAAAATAAAACCCACAGTATTTAGCTTGATATTCAAGGCTGACCTCAAACTACCTTTCTAGACACAAGTCCCCTCACAATTGCCCTGAAGTTGTGTCAAACACAATACACTCTACAGAATAGTCAAACTGGTGATAGCCCCAAGTCTTTGCCCGTGTGGTCCCTTTCTCCAACAGAGATCCTACATATTATTTTTGCCTGTCAATATCCAAAGTCAGAGAAGCAATAATAGTAGCAATACCTCTCCACCCTTGCCTTCTAGCCCATCATGCCACTGACATACCTGCTGCATACACTGAAATTATGAACACTCTAGAGCCTGTGTCAATGGTTAAGTTCTCAAGGAAGTAGACACTAAGATGAAGTGAAGAATGCAAAAGTTTATTGACAAATAATATCAGTGAAAGGAAAAAGAAGAACAGGTTTGGGCATGGAGAGTTATCAGATCAGTACACCAATCTAATAATGCTTTGGCCAACCCAACAGGGAGTTCCAGAACAGAATTTTTCCATTAGAGCACTCCCATAATGGGCTGAAAGAGCTAGGCCCTTGTATCACTGCCTTGATCAGCCTTTGGCCAGAATCCATCCTAAGAATAGCATGAACACAGCCAGAGCAGAAGTGGACACTGATGAAGCTAGTAGCTAGAAGCTCTCAGCTAATCACATTCCCCATGGCCAGGCAAGGAGACCCTTCTTTTAAAGGAGACACTGAGCAAGACATCTTTTGCCGTAGCCAGAAAAAGACTCCTAGGCAGGGCTGGTTCTTGAAATGACTTCAGAGACACTTCAGACTGAAGCATCCCCTGAAACTTTGACATGACACCTGAATTCCAACATTCAAAAGTCATCACTTTTAGAGTATTGAAGTTTTTGGAATTTCTGAGATTCTCAATATAGTTCTGAAAATACGTATACACTCCTAGGCTAAATCTATTAGCACAAGTAAACAGAAAAGTTTAATGATGATTGAAGCAGCATTGGATGTTAGCTAACACCATGGACTTTGGGTTTGACAGTTGCGGGTGTAAGTCTTCGCTAAAGGAGTAAATAGATAATTGAAAGCACGACCTCACAGGAACTAGGCAATGGATGGCGTGTGTGTTTGAGTTCATGAGTGCAAAAGCAAAAAGTCAGATACAGGACTCATTCCTAGCATGCTTCTGACGTGTACCAGGGACATTAGGATTCCTTGATAGACTGCCCAGTGTCCCAGACCAGTTGATCCCATTAAGAAATCCTGCTGGTGAGGAAGCCCTTTCAATCTGGAGAATGAGAATCCATTCCAATGGGGCAGGACTTAATTGAAGGACCTGAGCTACTCACATGAATAGGCATCTATAATTTTCTGGCCTCTACTGGGGCAGTCTTTCTCATGGAGGCTTTTGCAGCCCCCAAGGACCTTCTACACTGGCTGAGAGCCTGCTGCCAAGCAAGTTGTAGACTTCCTAGAGGCTATAGAGGAGTCTCATTCATTTTGTTACTCATTAAGTATTTACTTAATGAGTGTGCACTAGGCACCATGCTATGCACTGAAAGAATACAGATACAGATGAGACAGAGACCCCATGCTAATGAATTTCCCATTCAGCAATCAAGAAGCAAGTCTTCAATTTCAATTGAGAATAAAGATTACTACTAAAGATGTAAGAATAGGGTACTGTGGGATCTTTCAGGATGGGGCATAAAATCCTGCCTCAGAGTTTGGAGGAATCTGCCTTGGAAAGGGAAATTCAGAGGTGGAGTCTATAATTTTGTAAAATTTGGCCAAAAAGTAGTGGGAAAGGTTTATAGGCAGAAGTATATGCAAAGGCCAAGAGGAAGAAACATGTTTGGAAACAGCCACGAGTTTAGTATGCCTGGAGAAAAGGGACTGAGAATTAAAGGAAAGGAAATTGAGAAGCATGGAGAAATGAGGCTGGAGTGTTGAGTAGAACCAGTTCATGAAGGGGCTTGCTGTTAGGTCAAGGGATTTGCATTTCATCCCACAGCTAATGGGGAGTCACTGAATGGTTATTAGGATGCCTACCACACAGTAAGCACTCAATTAGTATTAGTGATTATTCAATCATTCATTCGACAAATGGTCATTGAACATTTAAAGGATTATGTATTAGGCACTTTCTTATGTTGGGATTATTTTTTAAAGTGAATAAAATCAGGAATTAAATTATCTTTCTTGTAGATGTCAGCTCTCTAATAGGAGAGTCAAACATCAGTAAAGACTGACAGAAGAATGTGAACTAGTACAACCACTTTGGAAATTAATGTGGAGATTCCTTAAAGAACTAAAAGTAGAACTACCACTTTATCCACCAATCCCACTACTGGGTATCTACCCAGAGAAAAATAAGTCATTATACAAAAAAGATACTTGCTTATGCATGTTTATAGCAGCACAATTTGCAATCACACAAATGTGAAACAAACCCAAATGCCCATCAGTTGATGAGTGGATAAAGAAACTGTGGTCCAGATCACTGCAGAGAACATGGATTCCTTGAGGCAGGCAATGCGAGAGATAAAGGACTTCACCATCACCTGTGGGAAGACGGACGTGGAGGATCCCCAGGAGCACATCCACATCCAGTGGGTGGATGACGACAAGAACTTTAGCAAATGTGTCATAAGTCCTATAAATGAGAAGTCCATGGAGACTATAACAAATGTGAAGCTATTCCATGGATCAGAATGTAAAGCAAATGGAAAAGTTATCAGATGGACAGAGGTGTTTTTCCTAGAAAACACCTAAATGATCCTACAAAATGATCATTTTAGCAAATGATCCTGCAAATCAAATTAGATTGACTAAGCATGTTGCCAAGGCTTTTTGCCTTGCTCTCTGTCCTCACCTGAAGCTTCTGAAGGAAGATGGAATGACCAAACTGGGACTAAGTATGACACTTGACTCAGATCAGGTTTGCTATCAAGCAGGGAGCAATGGCCAGCCCCTTCCCTCACAGTATATGAATGATCTGGACAGCACCTTGGTGCCAGTGATCCCCGGAGGGGCCTGTCAGCTCAGTGAGGGCCCTGTCGTCATGGAACTCATCTTTTATATCCTGGAAAACATCGCATAAACAGAGGAGACTTCATTTTTTTCTTTTCAGGCCTGTTGCAATGGCAGTCATACCCAAATCAATTGCACTTTAAAACTCAAAAATTAAGCTTTTGTTAACACTGTTAATGGAATGGGGAATAGGGTGGGAGTGGCGGTTTGTGAGACTGGTAGGAAAGGGTGGATGGGGAGACAGATGTTCCATAATTCTAAGTCTTCTATGCATTGTCCACCAAGAAGATCTGGGCAGCTTCTGTTCCTGCACAACAGTTATGCTATCCTTGCAGCTAATCCCCTTCTCTTACTGTTTAGACAAGAATTCTGCTCCTCTCTCAAGATTTACTTATGGCCATGTGCTCAGAAATGCTCAAATGGGTACAACCATCACCAAGGGTGGGATGGGAAGGCAGAGGGGAAATAAAATATGAAGCATAAAAGAAAATAGAAAGAAACTGTGGTATATATGTATGATGGAATACTACTCAGCCATAAAAAGGAATGAATAAATGGCATTTGCAGCAACCTGGATGGGATTGGAGATTATTATCTAAGTAAGACAACTCAGGAATGGAAAACCAAACATCGTATATTCTCACTTATAGCAGGAGCTAAGCTGTGAGGATGCAGAGGCATAAGAGTGACACAATGGACTTTGGGGACTCAGAAGGAAAGGGTGGGAAGGAGGTGAGAGCTAAAAGACTACAAATTGGCTTCAGTATATACTTCTCTGGAGATAGGTGCACTAAAATCTCACAAATCACCACTAAAGAACTTACTCATGTAACCAAATACCACCTGTTCCCCCAAAACCTATGGAAATAATTTAAAAAAAAAAATACTGACACCAAAATGCAATATTGAAACTGTGTCAGTGTTGTGGAAGAGACATGCATGGTGCCTGAGGTTCCTTTGAGGAAGCAGCTGTGCCTGGAGACCTGAAAGAAGAGTAGCTATAACTCAAAAAGCAGGTAGTAGTATGAGGAGAGTTTCAGGCAATGGGAAAAACTTGAGCAAATAACTTGAGGAGGGATGGCATATGGCTTGACTGAGAGCCTGCAAGGAAGCCAGGTGTCTTGAGTCTCAAAAGCTCGAGGGAGTATGGAGAGAGGCAACCGTGGAGAAATAGAAAGGAGCCTTCCCAGGCAAGGCCTTACATACAGTGTGCAGGACTTTAGTCTTCGTGGTGTAAGTAACAGGAAGCTAGGGAGCTTTCTAAATGGGGTGGGGGCTGGGCAACACAAGGATGACAATATGATTTGCCTTCTGGAAAGATCTGTCTTGTTGCAGTGTGGAGAATGGAGTGAAGGAGACATGAAAGCCTTTGGAGATACCAGTTTTGAGGCTGAAAAGAGGTCATGTTAACTAGGACTTTGATGACAGCAGTAAAGGTAAGAGAAAGAAGAGGATTTGAAAGCCTTGAGTATCAAAATCACAGAACTTTGGTTGGTGAGAGAGATTCTGGTTTATGTAACTGGCTGGATGGTGATGTTGTTTACCTTCATTGGGATCCTGGGCCAGGTTTGAGGGGAACATTATGATTTTAATGACCTGGTCAAACGCCTGTATTTTATTTTGCTTTGTTTCATGAAATACTTCAAATATACAGAAAGTTCAGAAAATAACATAATTAACTTCTGTGCACCCACTGTCCAACTCTATCAAATCCCAACAAAAGCAGGAGAGTAAAGACAAATTCCACAGACAGATTACCTGGGATCAAACCACAGCTCTGCCATTTACTCTCATGTAGGCTGAGTCCTATTATTTCATCTCTTGTGCCTGGCACAGTAAGTAGCAAGTACATGTTACCCTTTTTTTCTCCATTATTTTGCAATACCTGTTTCAGACTGCTTTTTAAAAATAAAAACAAAACAGATGGTAGTGAAGCAGCACGTGAACACCCTTGTAAGCCCATTTCCTTCCCACCATCCTCAGGAATTAACCACTATTTTGATTTTGTTGTTTATACACAATGATGTTTTATCTTAGTGCTACCTATCCATAAATGGGATAAGCATAGTTTTGTTTATTTCCAGATGCATATAAATGGTATTATATATAATAATGATATATATATCATTCTATAAGTTGCTGTATTTGATCAACATTGCATTTTTCTTAATGTGTCTATATTGTGTCTCTATAACTCATTTGATTAATTTTTAAATAGACTTTTAAAAAGAGAAATTACAGGTTCAAATCAAAATTGAGCAGAAGATACAGAAATTTTTTCATGTATATCCCTTCTCCAACACATGTGTAGCCTCCCCAGTTATCAGTATCTTCCACCAGAGTGGTACATTTATTAGAACTGATGAACCTACATTGATAAGTCATTATCACCCAGAGTCCATAGTTTACATTAATGTTCACTCTGAGTGTTGTACATTTTATGAGTTTGGAGAAATTTATAATAATAGTATCCATAGTATCATAGAGAGTAGTTTCACTGCTCTAAAAATCCTCTGTGTTCTGCCTAGTCATCCCTCCCTTCTCTCAACCCCTAGCAACCACTGATTTTTTTTTACCGTCTCTATAGTTTTGCATTTTCCAGAATGTCATACAGCTGGAAATATATCATTTATACATAGCCTTTTCATACTGGCTTCTTTCACTTAGTAATACACATATAAGTTTTTTACATGTCTTTCATGGCTTGATAGCTCATTTCCTGTCAGTGTTGAATAATATTTCATTGTCTGAATATATCACAGTTTATCAATTCATCTACTGAAGGACATCTTGTTTGCTTCCAAGTTTTATCAATTATGAATAAAGCTGCTATAAACATCCATGTATTTTTGTGGACATGTTTCCTACTCCTTAGGGTAAATTCAAGAAGCATGACCACTAGATCATACGGTAAGATTAGGTTTAGTTTTGTAATAATTTCACTGATTTTTAACTATGGCATATTATTCCATTTCATGAATATACTATAATGTATTTATCTGTTATCCTGTTTGTAGACACTTAGGTAATGAATTTTTTCACACTTATTAAAAAATGCTGCCTTGAGTATTTTCATATACAAATCTCATTGGGCATGTATGTGACAGTTTCCCAATATATATGTCCTAGGTCAATGGGTGAACGTATTTTCCACTTTACTTGAAATTGCCAATTTTTTCTCCGAAATGATTATGCAGACTTCAATTCCACTAACAGTGTACTACAGTTCCTGTACTCCACATATTTAACATTACAGACTATATCGACAGCCTTTTATTAAAAAAAAAATTTTGCTGGTAAGACAAGTATGAAACGATATGTCACAGTTATCTTATTTACATTTTTCCTAATTATTAATGAACTTGAGCATTGTTTATCTGTTTATTTTCTTTGAGTTTATTTTTACATTAATTTCCTGTTCAAATTCTTTGCTCAATTTTTCATTGGATTGGTTATGATTTTTCATATTAAATTGTAGGAATTATTTAGAAGTACCAAATAGTCATCTTCATTGGCTATATCTTTTGCAAATGTTACCTCTGTGCGTATTACAATTACATTATTTATGATACTGTTTTGATGTTTTACATGTTGCTTTTAATTCTGTGTGGAATTTTTGTATTTGTATGGGAGAAAGTTAGGATATGATTTTATATACTTTCACAGGAATATCTAATTTTGTTGAGACAATATTATTTTGCCTAGTTGATTCATAATGGCATTTGTCATAACTACATTTTCTCAATAAGTGGTCTATTTCTAAATTTCCTATTCCATCAGTTTATTTGTCTATGCTTTTGCCAGTTTCTCAGTCTAAATTAGAGCTCTACAACACTTTTCAGTGATGATGAAAATCTGCAATCTGCATATTGCATATTCCCCAACATATGCTTAGCCTCCCAGTTATCAATATCTTCCACCAGAGTGGTGTATTTATTAGAACTGATGAGGCTACATTGACATGTCATTATCACACAGAGCCCACAGTTTACATTAATGTTTACTCTGAGTGTAAACTGCAGAGCTGAATGTATAGCTCTGCAGTTATACATTCTATGGGTTTGGAGAAATTTATAATAACGTATATCCACAGTATCATAGAGAGTACCTTCACTGCCCTAAAAATCCACACTGTGACTGCTAACTACTTATAGCTATTGAGAACCTGAAGTGTGGTTTCTGTAACTGAAGAACTGAATTTTAAATTTTGTTAATTATGAAGTGGAAGCTGCTAGTCCCTTATGTACAACCTGAAAAAATGCAGTGATTCTTTAATTGTTTGGTAAGACTTAACCCTGAAAGCACAAACATAACATTAAAGGAATCTACATGTAAAGACCAATTCAATGTATTTAATGTCTAATAGTTCATTAATATTTCATATGAAATATCATTTTAGCTAAGCTTTCAACTTTATTGGCATAAAATCTATTTTTCTCTTGGGAATTATTTAAATTTCTAATTTGTAGTTAACTTTCCTTTTTTTCTTTAATATTTTATGTTTGCCATTATTTTAACTGATTGACCTACCAAGCAAACTGCCTACCCCATTATCTATCTTCAAAGCAGTTTTTCTATTTATTGATATTATATATTATTTGTTTACTATTTCATTAATTTCTCTTAATTTAATTTTAATCTTCCTCATGTTTCAGGAAGTGGTTTTGTGGTTCTTTTTTGTTCTCTTTGTGGTTCTTTTTCCTAGATTTTTAGATGAAAATTTAACTCATATTTTTTATTTTTATTAAGCATATTTTGATAGATAAATTTACTTCTAAGTCCTCAATTAGCTGCATCCCATTTTTATAGTATTTTCAGGATCATTTAATTCTTTTTTTTCATTTTGATATCCTAATTAAACCATGAATTACTTAGGTGAGCATTTTCAAGTTTCCAAATGATATATACTTGTTTATTTCTTCTTTTTCTTTTATTTTTTAACTATTATTTTGTTGCTTTGTTTTCTACTTCAATTATATCATGATCATGAAATATGTTTTACATGATAGTGACTTTTGGAGGCTGTGTGACTTCTTTTGAGATTTATTACATCATCAATTTTTGTAAAATATTTGTCATTTTTATACCTGTTAGATGTAGATTACAAATTTCATTGTTAATTTTCTGGAACCATAATCTATCGGGAGAAATTCAGCCAGATATCGGGAGAAATTCACCTCTGATATTTCACATAGGTTCTTTTCTATTTTCCCTAAGTGTCGGCTGTTCTGAGAAATAAAGGGACAGAATACAAAAGAGAGAAATTTTAAAGCTGGGTGTCCAGGGGAGACATCATATGTTGGCAGGTTCTGTGATGCCCCACAAGCTGCAAAACCAGCAAGTTTTTATTAGTGATTTTCAAAAGGGGAGGGAGTGTACGAATAGGGTGTGGGTCACAGGGATCACATGCTTCACAAGGTAATAAGATATCACAAGGTAAATGGAGGCAGGGCGAGATCACAGGACCACAGGACCGGGGTAAAATTAAAATTGCTAATGAAGTTTCTGCATGCATTGTCATTGATAACATCTTATCAGGAGACAGGGTTTGAGAGCAGGCAACCGGTCTGACCAAAATTTATTAGGCAGGAATTTCCTCGTCCTAATAAGCCTGGGAGCACTACGGGAGACTGGGGCTTATTTCATCCCTACAGCTGCAACCGTAAAAGACGGCCACCCCTGAAGTGGCCATTTCAGAGGGCTACCCTCAGGGATGCATTCTCTTTCTCAGGGATATTCTTTCCTGAGAAAAAGAATTCAGCGATATTTCTCCCATTTGCTTTTGAAAGAAGAGAAATAAGGCTCTGTTTCACCCAGCTCACCAGCGGTCAGAGTTTAAGGTTATCTCCCTTGTTCCCTGAACATTGCTATTATCCTGTTCTTTTTTCAAGGTGCCCAGATTTCATATTGTTCAAACACACACGCTCTACAAACAATTTGTGCAGTTAACGCAATCATCACAGGGTCCTGAGGCCACATACATCCTCCTCAGTTTAAGAAGATGACAGGATTAAGAGATTAAAGTAAAGACAGGCATAGGAAATCACAAGGATATTGATTGGGGAAGTGATATGTGTCCATGTAATCTTCACAATTTATGTTCTGCCATGGCTTCAGCCAGTCCCTCCATTCGGGGTCCCTGACTTCCCGCAACAATAATCTTTTACCTATTTCATATATCCACTCTTGAGAGAGGTATACTACAATCTCCTACTATTATTGTGTATTTGTCCACTTTTATTTATATTTTTGTCAGCTATTGTGTGATATGTTTGAAGAGTAGGTTATTACATGCATACAAATTTGTAATTGTTATTTCTTGGTTGATTTTTTACTCTATTTTTTGAAGTTGTCCTTTTTATCTCTATCGTTATGGGATCTTTGGGTTATTGCTTTTCTGGCTGAAACCTCTGTGGCCAGAGGCACTTTTTCCTGAGTTCTCATCTTGCATCCAGGAAGAATGAGGTATGCAGACAAATGGAAGGTGAGCAAGATGAAGAGGAGCTTTATTGAGTGTCAGAACAGCTCGGAGACCTGCAGTGGCTAGCTCATCTCTGCAAGCAGGTCGTTCCATTGAGTGTTCAGCTCTTAGCTGAGAGGAGGCCGTGAAGTGGGTGGCTTCTCTCTTCAGGCAGGTTGTCGCATGGTCTCTGCAGCTCTCAGCAGAGAGGAGGCCTAGAGTGGGTGGCTCCTCTCTGCCAGCAGGTCATCCCAGTGAGAGTTCATCCCTCAGCAGAGAGGAGGCCCTGGAGAGGGTGACCTCTCTCTTCAGGCAGGTGGTTTGGACATCTGCTGCTCTCAGCAGAGGGGAGGCCCTGGATTGGGTAGCTCCTCTCCGCAGCCAGTCATCCCAACATCTGCTCAGCTCTGGCAGAGCCCAGGGCTTTTATGGGTGCAGAGGGGAGGAAGTACATACCAATTGGTCCATGGGTGGCCTGGGCAGGCTCAGAAAAGGCACCACAGGTTCCCACTTCAGTCCGTGGGACTGGCAGCCCAGCCCCCAGCCTTCAGGCCCTACCTGGCCTGAAGGTGGGACCTCACAAGGAACTCACTACCTTCCACACAGAAACCTGTCTGCCTCCTGCTGCCATTCATGACACTCAGGCTATAAGTGCCAAGGGGGCCCTGTAGGCCAGCCCCAAATTGCCCTCTGCCCCCTATTGGCTTCCCTCCTATGCTTGTCAGTGCCCAAAGTCCAGAAGGGGCCAAGGTGGTAGGGGGTTGCCATGTCAGCACTGCCCCAGGTGTGCACATATGGCCTGGTTGTGATAGTGCCCAGGATTACCCCTGCTTTTGCTCTGAGATTAGAGCAGGTGCTGACAGCAGGGAGAAGCCAGGCAGTGGGAGCAGGCATTTCTGAGCCTGTGAGGGAGAGGGCCTTCCCGGGCCCCTAAGAGTGCAGGGATGCCTGGGTCTGCAGCTGCGGTTTGGGTGGCTGCAGCTGCACCCAGGAGAGTGGGACTCCTGCCTGCTTCATGGAGTGGCCCAGGTCTGCAGTCATGGTTTGGGTGGCTGTAGCTTCATCCAGAGAGCTCCCACCCCAACTCAGAAGGGGCAGGGCTGACACTTGTCCCCAGGTCCCTCCAGCTCCATGGAGTGTGCAGCCCCAGACATGCCTTCCTGCTGCAGCTGGCGTGATGGCAGCAGCCACTCCAGATGGACCACCACTGTTATCACTACTAAAGAATTTCTATTTTGTCTGATATTAATATGTTACATGAACTCTATTTCCAGTATTTGTCTGTTGCATCTTTTTCCATATCTTTATTGTCATACATTCTCTAAGATGCAAGACATTCAGCAGGTACATCCAGTTGTTTACAACATTCACTTGTTTTGATTGCTCAGTGACCATGCTGTACCTTTATTTCTAACAGTTTGATGATTACAGTTAAATTTATTTCCATTTTTCTTTAATGGGGACTTATGCTTCTGATTATGATGAAGAAGAATATGAATTACCTCTCTTCTCAAGATAAGATCAAAATAGATAAACTAAAAATTATACTTTTTAAAGAGTCTATTGAAGAGCAGAGGATTCTAAGCCTTGACAAACTGAATTCCAGAGAAAGGCAAGACATTAATATGTGAGCCAGGAGATGAAGAGGCTTCAGTACATGGGGCCAAAATTCTGGAAAGGATCAGCCCACAAATGGGTTGAGCCTTTTGATTACAGTGAGAGGTAATGGGATAGATTAGGATTTGCCACAGAACTAAAAACAAACATGAAATACTCTGCTTGACAACTCTCCCTGCCCCACAAGCCTCCCTTAATTTTTGCAAAAAGAGTAGCAGTCAAGGAGCTGGGCAGGAAAAAGAATTTGTGTCACCTTGGGCATTCTCATTGTAGTTGATTCCAGAGACATTCCAGCTCCAGTTGAATCCAAAGGTAAACTAAAACTGTACTGAAATGCAGCCCAGCCCTCTGCCAGCTCAAATACTGGCATGACTAAAGAAATCAGTAGTAGTGGCCCAAGAGGTTGAGTATTGAATTGGCTCAATCAATTGTAAAAGGTAAGGTCTACCAAAAACCAAGTTCACTTGTGAAGGAATCTAAATAATCAGCTCATCATCTGAACTGACAGTAGACTGCGAAGCCAAAACTTTGGAGGGAAAAAATATTATGCTTTTGCCTGTTCTGTTCTTTAATATGCAATGTGTGAAATACAATGTAAAACTGCCAACAATAAAAAAAGTAAGAAGCAGGATAATGTGTCCATAAGCAAAAGTAAAAAGTAGTCAATAGAGGCACACCAACAGATTACTAAGCTATTAAAGTTAGTAGACCAGGACTTTAAAATACCAACTTAAATATATTAAGAAATTAATAGAAGGAGATTCATATAGTTGGTGAAGAGATGGGGAAATCTCAGGGAAAACTCTTAAACATAACCAAATAGAAATTCTGTAATTAAAAAAAATATATCTAACATAAAAATTAACTGGCTGGTTTTAATAGTAGATTGAAAACTGCAGAGAAATTATTAATGAAATTGAATACAAACCCACAATAAATCACAAAGGAAATTTTTTAATATTTTGAACAGAATAAAAATAAAGTACAAGATATTAAAACATATAGGATACAGCTGCAAGTAGTGCTTAAAGGTAAATTCATTAACATTAAATATGAATATGGCCAGGCATGGTGGCACACACCTGTAATCCCAGCACTTTGGGAGGCCAAGGCAGGCAGATGACCTGAGGTCAGAAGTTCGAGGCCAGCCTGGCCAACATGGTGAAACCCCATCTCTACAAAAAATTAGCCGGGCATGATGGTGTGCACCTATAATCCCAGCCACTCAGGAGGCTGAGGCAGGAGAACTGCTTGAACCCGGGAGGCCAAGGTTGCAGTGAGCTGACGTTGCACCATTGCACTCCAGCCTGGGCAACAGAGTGAGACCTCATCTCAAAAAAAAAAATGAATATTAGAACAGAACAAAGGTCTCAAATTAATCTCTGGACAACAGTAAAGAAAAGCAAATTGAAACCAAAGTATGCAGAATACAAATGATAACAAAAATAAGAGTATGAAATAGGAAACATAAAAACAAAAGAGAAAATTGATTTAGTCAAAAGGTGGCCCATTGAAAAAATTAATGAAATTGAATTACTGTCAATATTATGATTAAGATAGGTGATATCTCAACAGATTCTATAAAAACTATCGTTATGTCAATTAATTTTCCAATTTAATTGGAATGAACAAATATGTGAAAGATACAAACCACCAAAACTAACTCAAGAATAAATAGATCACTTCAATACCCCTATATCTATTTTAAATGAACTCGTAGTTATAATACGTTTCACAAAGAAAATATCAGTTTCAGATGGTTTCAGTGGTGAATTTTGCCAAACATTTAAACAAAATATAAAAACAATTCTATACAAAATATTTGCAAAATGGAAGAGGAGAAAATACTTCCAAATTACTCTATGAGCACTATGAAACAAAAACAATAGGCAAAAAGAAAGGTCCACATCAATAATCTTCACAAACACAGACACAAAAATCCTTAACAAAATGTTAGCAAATTGAATCCAATATATTAAAAGGTGCTATATAATGACTAAGTAATGATAGTCATATTTACAGGGGGCAGGATTGTTTACGTAGATAACTTGAAGAATATATTATAAATGCACATATAATATCTATATAAATATATATAAACATATATAATATATAACCTAATAAACCAATATCACAGAAGCAAGATCATCATAAAATATCAGTATTAATTTAATATATTAGCAATGAAAAACTGGAAATAAAATCAATATTCTGACAGATTAAAGATGAACACCAATCCTTTAACACTCGTCTTATCAGAAAATTAATTCTATGCTCTCTCTCTTGCATTTGATGATACTTTGATTGTATTACAAATACATCAAGAGATGGCATCTATGTTACCTGCATTAAACCTGAGCAGTCTCCCTAAATTCACATTAAATAATATGGTACAAATAATTCTGGCATTTTCCAAGTTGTACCTCTAGGCACTAGCAGCTCCCACTTCCTGTTTCTTGAAACACTCATTTCTGGAACTCAACCACCAAGTAGGGAAAAGCCAAGCCTCATGAGACGATCACCTATAGGCACTCCAGTAGGTAACCCTAGCTGAGCTGTTTGCCAGCATTGACTGCCAGCCATATGAGAAATTCACCTTGCATGTCTAACCCAGGAGAACCTTTTGAAGACTCCAGCACCAGCCACTATCTGGCTACAACCTCATGAACAACTTCAAGTAAGAACCATCCAGCTAACCCAAGCCTATTCACAGAAATGTGAGAAAAATTATCTTTAAAATCCAAAATTACTGTTTTAAGCCATGAACTTTTGGGGTAGTTTGCAACCCAGCCATAACCAAATAAAATGAAAACCACTTATGATAGCATCAATAAACAAATCAAACAAAATTACAGAAATGAATGTAATAAACCTCCACAGTATTGCTGAAACATTAAAGAGGCATACGCATGTATGTCTTTTCATGTCTGCAGACATCCAGCAACTATTAAAACATGAAACCTCTTTTGGCCATGTTCTCAATAGGTTAGTCAATCCATGTACTTAAGATCCCGAAGACCTTTGACACTAATAGATTGTCCTTTCTAAAGATAGCTCCTGAAACAGTCTGTGCCCATCTCTATACTCAAGAAAATATTCCGCAAGAATAAAGGTTTTCAATCTTCCCTCCAAGGTGACCAAATGAGAATCTAGAATTTGGTCTAAATTATAGAAAGACCATATAAAAATGCATTCTCTTTAATTAACCTCATTCTGTTCCTGATCTGAATGCAGTTCCTGGGGGTTGCACTGAGGATGACTCAGGTCAGTGCTGTGTGAGGGGGTGTCAGTAAATACTGTCAGGTGACCAATAAACCAGAAATGCTCTCTGGTGCTTCACTTCCGACTCACTGCCACTTTTGATTGTATTATTGCTTTTTAGCACCTCTTCACTGCCAGAGCCCTTGACAAATATCTTATTTACACCCTCATAGGAACTCCCTTTTTAAAAATTTTAAAGCTTCAGATATTCTCAACCCAGCAAAGAGTTGTTTTCAGCCCTATTTTTCATGTAACAAAATTGATTCATAGAACCTGGAACCTATTCCTCTATCTGACATTGAAGTATTTACTTGGTTCACCTCCATTTTGCCTCTGCTCACCATTATTCCTGTTTGTTTATTTACTTGTGCCCCCTATTAGATATCGAGATCATCAAGTGCAAAGACTATGCCTTATACATTTTTATAACCCTAGGAAGTAGCACAGTGCTTAGCTCTTAATCATTATTCACAAAATGTCACTTAAAATTTTGGATTACAAGTTGTATCATACATATCTTAGTCTAAGTAAGTAAGTCTTAGTAAGTAAGTAAGTCTAAGTCAGTAAGTCTTAGTCTTCTTCACCTAGACTAAGGTCCCAGAAGGGAGAGGTCACATTTTTCTCATCTTTGCATTCTCAGTGTCTAGTATGATGGCTGGCACACAGCAAATGTTTCATAGTAGAGTAAATGACAGATGCAAGCCAACAGATTGCCCTGGCCTTCACTAACTGGAAATGGAATTCCCAAAAGAGCTACAGGAAGCAGGAAGGGTATTAATGAAATAAGATCCTGTGAATAATTTACTAATTAACATTGCCTATATTTGCATTTATTTGCATAATGCCTCCTGGCTTATGAAATGCTTACACATTTATTTTCTGACATGGTCTTCACAACAGTCCTGTGAGATACACAAAGCAAATGTTATCATCATTTTATAGATGAAGGTTTGTGTCTTGCCCAAAGATAGAGGGCTAAAAAGTGGTGACACTGGAAATAATTCCATTTCCTGACTTCCTTTGTGGGACATTTCCCACAGATCACCCTTTGGCTAAGACAACTAACTGAACATTCACTTTGGAATGTAATTGTCTATAGCTGTGGACTTTCAGTCAGGTTTTTTAAATTTATGAACTTCAATGTCCTCATTTATAAAATTATAATAGTTATTTGTAACCTGCCTCTGCCAACGTGAGCCGTATTTATTTAAATATGTATTATTAATATTAATGTATATTAATATAATTTAATATATTAAATAACTTAATTTGAGAATGCTATTGAATTTTATTACTAGAATACTATTAATATTTATTTAAATTTATTTTTAAAGTAATATCTATTATTTCCTGAAAAATAAAAGTGCAAAAAAGATAAAATACTAAATTAATACACTGTGAAAGCATTAACATTCTGAACATAATTCTGAGGAAGAAACAGGAACTTTTTAAAAAGAAGCAGAGAGATTTAAAGAGTGATGTGTTCCCTAAATTCTGCTCCTGAGGCTAGGAGTCCACTGAGGTCAAGCCTTCTGCTGACCTATAGCAGCCCTTATCAATAATTCAGTGAGCTCCAGTGTCAGGCCTGGCTGCCTTTCTCTCCCCTGCACTTCAAAATCTGAGCTGCATTGCTGATGCTTTAATACAGCTTCTCACCACATTAAGAATGTCTTTTGGTAATTTTGCAGATTTATGTAAACTATATCATAAATCCAAAAAAGAAAAGCTGTTAGACAGTTCTTCAATGGGCTTTCTAACTGCCAGATGAAAAGTCATTTAGCCCAGTGATACAGTGAAAGGCACCATTCATATGCCAGCTAGTTATAAGCATCACATCTGGATTAGCATGTCTTATGATGTTATAGACAAGTGTCAAATGGTTTTTCTAGCTCAAGTCTAATTATAGCAAAATAGTATTAAACTTCTAGGGCTCCTGGAAGTTCTTGCAAATTTGCAAGAGCACATGAAGTCAATGGGCCTATGGAAATGTCAGGAATCTCTTGCTGAGGACAAATGCATGTGGGTCAAGTGAGTCTGAGTCCACTTCAATTTCCCACTATCTCCAACATAAATCCTCAACTCCAGCAAACAGCACCGTTCACTGACTTCCAGCATCCTCTATAGTTCCCTTCCTTTGTGATTACACTCATTTGTGCCACATATCTGGAATGCTTTTCAACTCCTCTCTGCCCATAAAAATAAGTGCGGCCATTTATTAATCATCTCATAGGATTCATCTAGTCTTACATTTAAGTCATTGCAGGAATTGCTGCTTCCATTTTACAGAGGAGGAATTAGAAGCTCAGTAAAGTTAAGCAAGGTATTCAAGGTACACAACTAATGAAAGAACCAGGATTAAACTTTAGTCTGTTTAACTCAAAGCCATGCTTTTCGCATTACATTTCTCTTCTCAACACCAGCCCAAAGTCCAGCTCCAACAGAAAGTCCTCTCTAAGTAAGCAACCCTGAATGGCCTCCCATCTCCTTCCTTCTCACTCATTGACCACTAAGCATACATAACTTCGTGATGACTCTCCATCTCTAATAGTCACTTCCACTAAACCATCAAATATTTGAAAACAAAATATCCTCTCCTGTTTCTGGGTCATCTTACCCATCATCCACCATGTTTTATCCCATCAAGATGAAAGCTTTGGTAAGGACAAACATTCACTTGCATGTCCTATTGATTTTTACATAATGTTAGGTGTTTTGAATAGTGCTCTGTATATAGTAGACATACCAAAATTGGATGCTGGCATGAATTTAAATTTGATTTGGACTAAATATCCATTTGGAAGATAAAGAAACTAAGACTCAAAGAGGTTAAGAGCCCAAATTCTCACAGAATTTTTTTGACAGAGCTAGGTCTCTTGATTGACTGACCAGTGGATTTCCCCCCCATCATAGCCAGGGTGACCATTTAATTTATTGCCCAAACTAGGACTTTCTTAAGAGTCAAAAAATACAATATTAAAATATTATTCCAGGACAACAGGCATAAACTAGGACATATCATCACCTAATTATTTCTCATTGTCTTTACCAATGGCAATAATAGCAGCACATGCTTATATATAGTGCTTACTATGTTCCAGGTGCTATTCCAAGATATATAGGTATAAATATACATATAAAATAGCATATTGTTTAATCTCCATAAACAATTATTATTGCCCCTATTGTACAGATGAGGAAACTGAGGCTCAGAGAGGGTAAGTGACTTGCCTAAAGTCATGCACCTAATAAGTGTGGGAGCCGATGAACCCCAATAGTGTAGCTCACAAGCCTATGTTCATAACCACTACAAAATTGGAAGCAGGTATTCAATAAATATTGGTGACTGTTTATTCCTGCCAGTCAAGAGCCATTCCTTTGGTCAAGCTGCCATTACTGTGGCATAGCGGAAAAAGCCAAGGAACAGGAAGAAATAGGGTACAGTGCCCACACACGCCTTGACTTACTAGGTCACTCTCCTCCTCTGACCTCAGTTTCCCATCTGTAAGTGTGTTAGACAACTTTATCTAGATGTCTACTAGCTTGAGAGCCTCTATTCATGGCATTGATTGAAACAGTTTCACTCCAGCTTTTAGCATGGCCTAGCACCTGATGAGTACCTAGGAAGGGAACTCACCTTGATCTAGGTCATGAGAGACAATCCTGCCTGACTTCTGAGGGCTTTGTTGACAATAGACCAGGTCATTCACAACAGCCAGTGAAACTGATGCAGCATATCCAATTTCCAGATGAGAAAGAAGAAACTCAGGAAACCTACAGGATTTACCCAAGTCACACTGTTAATATATGATGGGGCCAGGATTAGAACCCTGTCTTTCTAACCTCAAAGCTGTGATCATCATACTACAATAGGCTGACATGGAAATATCACCTCATTTATCTAACAAGAGCCTGTTTTCCCAGCATCCTCAGCTTCATTATTCAACAGCTGTGTGGCTCACAAGGACTAGCATCCCCTGAGAACAAGAAGCATATTATTTTTCTGGGCAAGAAGTGAACTTCATTCAATTTAACAAACTTTACTACCTGTATCCAACCTATTGCTCACACATACTTAGACACTAGATATAATCAAGGTGTTTATGAAGATACCACAAAAGTACACCACTGTATTTTGGAGGCTCTGTGGTTGCCAGGGTAACAATAATCTTCTCTTGCATAAAGGAAAGCTTCTTGGAGAGTGGGACATGACTCATAGATATGAGGCAATGGAATATTTACAGGGAGCTGTCTGGGTGAAGCATCAGGGGCAGCACCATACTCTTTTCCCATTTGGGTTTCCCAAAGTCCATCTCTATCACTCAACCATTCTTGTTGCACTAATGCCATGTGGGCCCCTCCCATGCTATTCAGTTTGCTGAGGACCCAGCTGGCTCCCTTCAGGAATCTGCCTCTTTCTGGTGACAAGCACCAGGACCAGCAAAAAAGGGGCAACCTGGGGGACAAGCAGGGCTTTCAGAAGTAGATCCTCAGCCACCCTCTGGGACCTCTTAGACCCTGCTGCATTTCCAATCTCCCCTGTTGCCTTCTCACTTCAGGGACTATTTATGTCCCTATTCCCTTTCTCCTCTGACCTCTAACTTTGGTTCTATTCCAGGATGTCACCATCTTCTCTCACACTGCATTGAGAAAAGCTTTGGGACTCACAGGCCAACCTTTCAAGAGACCATGCTCCTCAATCCTCTCCTCAATCCTCTCCCCAGAAATGTCTGTCCTGTGGTCCAGCCTTGCAGACATCCCCTGCCTTCCCTCATATCCAGGATGCCTACTGCTATGGGCCAGAGTCACCTCATAGAAAGGACGTTAATAGTCACCATTCCAACTCTCAGCATGATGACATCCTTTCCTCTCTACCATTTCCAGAAATGAACAGCCAGCCCTTGCCTGGTAGCCCCCTACCCTGGGATGCTCCCCATCAGCCAGCATTGGACAGCTCTGACTGTCAGTGTCTCCTCACTGGTCCTGGTCTTGCCCTCAAGGCTGCACAGAGCTGGGCCCCGTTTCTGGCCAAGGAAGGTCCTTCAAAATGGTGCAATGTGCTCTCAAACTCCCTGCCCCAAGCCATCTTCTCCAATGTAATCTCCCCATTTCTTAAGCCACTCCCCACGTAACTAAATCAGGACTGCCCAGAAGGCAAGAACAATGCTCCCCTCTCTTGTCCTGAGTTTGGCTACTTGAAGGAAGCAGCCACCAACAGGCATGGCACTTCACCTCCCATTCCTCCTGATGCTCTTCCCATAAAACCTCAAGCCCTGATTTGGGCTTTCAGGCTTTGTTGTCTTCCTTTATCCCAGCCTGAGAGCTATCCACTTCAGAAGTCTCATTCCTTTCCATGCCCAGGTTTCCACTTTCCTCAAGGAAGCAGTCCCTCCTCCCATTCACCTCCCCTCTCTAACAACTTCCGTTCAGATCCAAATTACTTCTGTTGAGCCCCTCTAGCATTCTTCCTCCCATTCACCTTCCCTCTCTAACAACGTCCATTCAGATTCAGATTAGTTCTGTTGAGCCCCTATAGTATTCTTAATTCCTCTTGCAGCTCTAGGATTCCTGGATTAGATACTCACAACTCATCTATCCAAAGCCCACTAGGGAGCATTGCCTTAAGGAAAAGAGAGTCCCTTTCCTTCCCAGCTATGCAAATATTCTCTCCACTCTATTTCTTTAAACCAGGCCCAGTCCCATGGATTTCTCCATAGTAGGCCAATAAAAATGGGTATTGGACATTCCATCCCCATTGGTGGTAAATGTCTCCAGCCTCCCCCATTATTTTATACTCCTTTTCTACTTCTGAAGCTATTATTCATCTCTCAGTATCCCAACATCCAGAATCTGCCCCACACTAGTTATTCCTTGGAATAAGGCCCAGATTGGCCTTTCAACACAGTTCTAGTCTTCTTTCTCTGACAAGGTGTGTGTTCACCCACCCTACGGTGTTAGCTCCCCTGCTCAGCTACCCTGCAGTTTGGACTGAGAGGTCATCCATAGCACCCCTATGCATGGCATCCAACACTGCCACACAGATTTGAGTCCCTTTAAGCTGTGACACCAAAGGAAAAACTTGTATGGAAGTTATAAGCAGTTGTCCTAACAGGCTTCTTTAGGTCAGTGGAAGCTTCTCACTGAGTTTCTAGCCCTTGTTCTTTGCTGATGCTATTGCCTGTTTTCCAGGCAGATAGGCTAATTTCTGAAGCCTAACACAAGGGCAAAGTACCCACTGTGCAGCCAGAACGACTAGCCTCCCCCTCCTCATGATTAGCCTCAAGGAGCTGCTATGCATTCTGCAGCTGCATTTCCAGGATGCAGGCCAGAAGGGCTGACAGCCACTTAAAGAAACCTCAGCATGGCCAAATGGGAGGTCCTCTCATTCACTATGTGTAGATTAGTTACACCTAGTGATATTTGGGCTAGAACTTTTTGTTTTCATTTTCAGAGGTAAAAATCACCTGATTATCAAAAATATACATGTAGCATTTTAAACAGTAGTCTAATAATAGTTGACGCATCACACAGAAGACATTAGATATAGATTATGTTCTGGAATTTTAGTCTAATCATAAGTCCCTATTTCAAAATATTTAGCTGAAAACCTAGGCAAGAGAGTAAGGGTCTATGGGAGGACAAAATGAAAGCAGAGCCTTGATGTCTTAAGCAGTTTCATCGCTAGAAGGGCACATGTTGTTACAATTTTTAGTCACCAATGTAATATTGGCTCATTGAAAAGAAAAGGAGAAAAAAAAAAAAAAGACCAGTGCCTCATCTCTTTATATACAGCTCATCACCTAGAGATTGAGTGTGCCTTAAATGTTGATGCCTCATCATTAGCATAGCCAAACCTAAAGTAGGTGCTTCTTACATGGTCACTGAATTGATTCTCTTTGCTTACTTAAATAGCGAATGACCCAGGACTAGAGGGTGCTTTGCTGTTATTTTTACCTGAGTTTACCGGACTTGACTCAATACAAACCTGTGATCAGCCAGACTACCTGGCTGTGCCCTTCTCCATTGCAATGTATGATCTGACAAAGGGAAAGAATCTATTTTAGGATCTCCCACATCCGCTGTGGTTCTGAGTAATGCCTGAGACTTGCTATCTAGCAATTAAGCAAGAAAATATGAGAAATCATATTTACATTTTCCACACTGTTGAGCTTCCTATACCTAACCTTGAACACTTAATACTATGCTGCATTATGATTCATCGAGGAGCAATGGTTTTATTTATAAAACTAGGAAACAAAGCTTAACTCTAAGATGGCTATCTTAAAAGAGAAAGGAGAATAAAATATGCATTTGAAAATTGTCATTGATGAAAAATGAAAAACAAACTATTTCTGTTATGAAAGTGAGCGTTTCAGATCTCTCTTTTCTTGCTTCCTAAACTTCACCAAAATACAACAATGATCCTAACTTTTTATTTTCATTGGACTCATTCATCTGGGAAACCCTTGACCTAACAGCCACATGCTCAAAGTCTAGCCTCCTTCCAGGTTCAGCTTCCATACCACTTTTTCCATGGAGCCTTCTCTGCCCAGCTCTGCCTTGCCCTCCTTCCTTGTGCTTCTCATCTGCCATTCAGCTTGCCCAGTGTCGGCATACTGCTCCCAATATGTTAGTTTTCTGCCACTATTCATTGACATCTCACATCTTCCCTCCAAACTGAGCACTAATTCAAGGGTTTATTTCTCTGAACTATAGCCCAAAACATTGTAGTCACTCAGTCAGTAGACATTGTTGACATATATTTCACATATTGTGTTTATTGTATTTCACTTATGTATATTTAGGATGCAGCATTTAAAGATATCCAGGCCAGGCACAGTGGCTCATACATGTAATCACAGCACTTTGGGAGGCCAAGGTGGGAGGATAACTTGAAGCCAGAAATTCAAGACTAGCCTGGGCAATAGAGTGAGACCACCACCTCCACAAAATATTAAATAAAAATTTGACTGTGTGTGGTGGCACATACCTGTAGTCCCAGCTACTTGGGGGGCTGAAATGGGAGCATTGCTTGAGCTCAGGAGTTCAAGGCTGCAGTGAGCTGTGGTCGCATCACTGCATTCCAGCCTGAGCAACAGAGTGAAAACTTGTCTCTAAATAAATAGACAAATAAAGATATCCGATTTTCTTTAGAACATAAGGCAGAAGAATGGCTACTCTTATTGAAGGTAATATCCATTTGTTTGTTTGTTTGTTTGTTTGTTTGTTTGTTTTGAGATGGAGTCTTGCTCTGTCGCCCAGGCTGGAGTGCAGTGGCACGATCTCTGCTCACTGCAACCTCCGCCTCCTGGGTTCTAGCAATTCTTCTGCCTGAGCCTCCCAAGTAGCTGGGACTACAGGCACGCACCACCATGCCCGGCTAATTTTTGTACTTTTAGTAGAGATAGAGTTTCACCATATCGGCCAGGCTGGACTCGAACTCCTGACCTCGTGATCTGCCCGCCTCAGCCTCTCAAAGTGCCGGGATTACAGGTGTGAGCCACCACACCCGGCCTGTAATATGGTTTTTAAAGGGTTGCCTGTTTAACTTGGGAAACCTATTTATAATCAAATGTTATTTTATGCATTTATGGTCAGTCGACCCAGAAGAAGACAGGACAGGCATAGACAAGGATGAGCGGGGTATGATAGTGAACTGGTAATTTCGGTAGATGCCATTTTTAAAGCTCTTTTAATGATTAGAGTATGTTCTTTGAGTAAATATGGCTACCTGGTTAAATATTAGCTCTTCACAGGCTAGCAGATGAGAGTGGTGTTTAATTCTTACTTCTCTGCCATTTTCTAAATGATCAAAAATTAAATCTTGATTCTAGTGCAATGATTCTCAACATAGCTTACTTCACTTTAGAATCATCTTGGATGATTTGAAAACGTACAAATTATCACACCCTATCTCCAGAGATTTGTTTTCAATTGATCTGGGCATCAGTATCTGCTAAAAGTTCCCAAGGTGATTTTAATGTGTAAGTAGAATTGAAAACCACTGATATAGTGTTTGATTTATTGATTCCCCACTCCAAGCTGTGCTTATTCTCTGTCCTAAATACTCCAAAGATTAGAAGCAATAATAAGGCCTCCATGTGGCTTCAGAAAATGGGGATTTATTATGTTTCAACAAAAAGATATGGTATTCAAAGATATGGTAGGCTAGGCAAATGCTCAATGACACTTCCAGAAGTCTGGGTCCCTTGAGTCTTGGCCCTTTCTTCTCCTGCACAGAGCCATACTGTGGCTGCTGGGATCAATGCCTGTGGTTCTGGAAATCGATCCAGGAAAGATTTCTTTGGTAGAGAGATGGCAGTCCTTACCCCCTAGCAAAATGTCACTAAAGCATCTCTAGGCAATTCAGTCTTCATCACTTCTGAAAGGTGAGATCTTGAAACTATGGTTTCATACTATGAAAAACTCTGGCTCTTGTCGAAAGTAAAGGAAAGGCCATTTCTGGTGTCAAGTGTTCCCTTGAACAGTACACAGTTGGAACAAGAAATGGGAGGCAGAGAGAGGGGGACTTACTGGGCAAACACAAATTTCTGGTTGACCAAACTTCAGACAAAAGAGCAGAAAGGATCTCTACCTGCCACATGGAAGTGAACTTAAACTGCCCGATGGGAGGCTGAAATCTTCCAGAAAAAATAATAGGTCTGTTTTCTTGTTGCATGAGAAAAATCACCCTTGAAGGTTTGGGTCCATTCATAGTTGCCTTGGTTACAAGGGGCCTATTTCTTATAAGGAGAAAACATAAAACGGATTCAAAATGGTCCATTCTCTATGTGAGATGATTAAAAGGAAAATATTTTAAATGTGAGCGAATGCAACATGGGGGAATCTGAAGAACTATGACAGCAACATTTCCTATGACAGTCAAAAGTCCCTCAGAAATATTCTCTTGCCCATGTACTGCTGCCCCTACCTATCCCTCAAGCACCTAAAATTCAGCCAGTGAAAAAATGAAAAATGAACCCAGCATACTCCCCTATATTCTGAATCTCAGATGGTAGCAATACCTAGCAGCCTATGCTGGCCTCCTGAGACTTACCTTGATTCTTCCTCCTTTCACCTCCTCCCCTCCGTGCCCAGTTCTTTACCAAGTTTTACTAATTATCTTTCTTTTTATCTCCACTAACTCTATTCTAGTTTAGGTTAGGCCCTCATTGTTGCTTGTGCAGGTCAAGGATTGTCAAACTATAACCCTTAGGCCAAATTCTGACCCTCCACCTATATCTGTAAACAAGGTTTCATTAGATGACAGCCAGGCCCACTATTTACACATTGTCTAGGACTGCTTTCAGGCAATGATGACAGAAAAGAGTAGTGGCAACACAGACCATACACAGCCTAAAAAGGCAAAGATATTTACTGTCTTACTCTTGATATATATTTTAAAAAATGCTAACTCATGGTCTAGGTTATTGCAGGTTATCCTATCTCCATGCCTACCCCAGAATTCAAACTATCTATCACACTGCTGATTAAATGGTGCTTCAAAAATACAACTCCAATTAGGTATCTCCATAGCTTAAAAGCTTTTAATGATTCAACAACAAAAGCAATTCCAAATTTCCAGCCTGCATGTAGGACCCCTCACTTTATCTTCTCCCCCATTCTCAGATGTCCTTGGCTCCTGTTCTTCTCTCTGTATGGCAGAATTGCTTTTCTTTCCTCAGGAAATCTAAGCTACAATTTGACCTGAAGGTCATGGAGGCTTGCTTCAACCCACAGAGGGCTTATTAGATCATCATTTCAACAAAGCAAACTCTCCCTTAAAGGAATTTACTTTCCAGCTTACTTTACTTACTTTATCATATAATGGCCTTGTTAGGGAAGGGGATCAGAAAACTTTACCCTTTAAGAAGAAAGGGTTCATTCGCTATTAGAGGTTACGGAAGGGCTTTTAGAGGCAATTGATTGAACAAAATTATATAATTATGAAAAATAAAGGTGTGTTTCAGAAATAACGAGAAGTTCTTGGTGGCTGCTGCGTGGTGCTAAATAGCTCCAGATGAGGACAGAAGAGCAGTGTGTGAAAAACCTTTCATGCCAGTGAGGACTTGTTACGTTTCTGTTACCAGCCAAACTCCTGATGATGGTAGGACTTTGGAAATCATCCTAGATATGAAAAATCAATCCAAGATGTCTAAGCAGAGAAATGCCAGGATTAGATTTTCCTTGTAAAAGAGAATCTGGTGATGGTGAGAAATAACTGGAGGGGGGAACAAAAAGAAAGGTAGTATGGAAGTAATTATAACAGCCCAGCTGAAAAATGGGAAAGCTTAAATTTGTGTTGTGGCATTTGGGATCAAAGATGGAATTAACAGTTAACCAGTTTTGAGGAGTCAGGATGATGAATTAATGTTGAATCTAAGGCTTCTGGTTTATATAATAAACGGACTAGATTTTGAGATTACAACCAAGATCAGGATTACAGGAGGAGAATCTCATTTGGAAGACAAGAGACAGGGGCAAGTAATGAGTTTCATTTGGACATGCTAAGTCCCATACTTGAGGTTATCTTAGTGGATCTTCCAAAGATGCCATTAAAAACTTGTACCTGTTCCTCTAATGAGAATTTGAGGCAAGAAATTGAAATATTGTCATCATATGATATAGATTATTATCAAAGATGGGGAAGAGGATTCACTACTCAATTCCTACCTACAAATAAAACTGAGATGAAGTTTGGAGAGTGACAGAAACCTTGAGAAAATTTGGCTATGTCATCAGCATTGCCCAGGAGGACACCAGGAACATCTTGATCCATGTTGGTTCCACGGACCTCAGGAAAAGGAACTGTAAATCAATCAGAGGAAGAAAAATTCGGACTCTGTCTACCAGAAACTTTAAAAGGAAATAGAACTCAAGGGGATGGAACCACTAAGAAATTAAGTTCAGGATATGTTTTTGAAAATAATACCAAAAATAGAGAAAAAAAGAGGTATTTTATAAGAAAATGTTAAGAGAGGATTATCACTAAGTAGCCCAAAGGCCCACTTAACTGAGTATCGGTAGATCTGAACAACCAAAAGATGCAAAATATTCACGTGAGACGGAGAGGTAGCTGCATCTCTGTCTCTGTTGCAGGGGGGTCATCCTAGTTTTACTAAAACTGGATGATGAGGCAGGTTTTGGTGAGCACCATTTTCAGTCTTAAAAGCTGAGATCATAAGATCAAGGTTTCTGTGACCTTGGTGAGGGAATTAGGAGCTATAAACCAGGGACATCATGACAGGCAGAGCTTTTCTACTTCACCTTACTTACTTATTTTGCTTATAATAAAAACAGCCTATGAGTTTAACTGGGGTTATAATAAAGAAGGGAGTAGGTATTAGCAGATAAGACCATGTTATGCTCCACAATCAGTCTGAAGAGAGGGAGCCTAAAGAGAACAAGTAGGTGAGGATAGTCATTAAAGGAGAAAAATAGAGGGTGAATTTCTAGGTCTTACATCAGGGAAAGGAGAGCCTGAGATGTCAGCCTGTATCTAAGAAGGAACCGACAAATAGCTCTCGTTTTATGTTAGATTTTTAAGGAGCGTATTATGGAAAGTATCAAAATGGCAAAGCAGCTAACAGCGATGAAGCTAAGGGCAAGTATAGTGTCACGTCTCTATCAGGGAAATCCGGAATCCAGAAACCACTAAAATTTCTAGAGACAAAGGGAATAATGAAATGGGTCATCATGAGATGATGGTCAAGGAATAGACACTCAGCTGGAAGGATGTCAGTGGGATAGAATTAAGGCAAGACACTCAACCGTAACTTGGCTTTTTACTTCTCCATGAAGGATGATCTCAGTTCCTTCATTCAATAAACAGTCTTCATGCATTTGTGCAAGCTACTATATTAGATGTTCAAAGAAACACACAATATCTGCACTTCAAAAGACTTACAGTCCAAGGAAGGAAACTAAAACTGAGTGAAGACCAGGCCCCAGATGGAAAGGAAGTCATGTGAGAGTACAGGGTCACTGTGAGGGATTCATGTGCACAGGTCCAGTCAAATCCCCCAGCCCCAAAGTGTGGGACAGGCCTACTGCTCCTATCTCTAAGGCACAGAAGGGGAGGAGAGAGATGCCAGAGACTGGAAATGAGCAAATGCAATCATGAAAAGAAAAAAATATATGCCTTAGCAACTGAAGACCCAGAGCTTGATATTTTTAGACTCTGGCCAGCTGGCAGGGCCAGCCAGGCTAACAGGCTCTGAGGCTGCCTCTTGGCTGCATTCTGCTTCTCTCTTCTTCCTTCCTCCCTTTCATAGATTCCTGGGAAAATAATTTTCACTCTTTCTTGTGAGGCAACAAGACACTGCCGGAATAACAAAGGCTTGGCAGTCAGATTCTCCTTCCTTCGCTTGCTATTTGTATGACTTTGAGCAAACTGCCCAACCTTCCTGAAACTCAGTTTCCTCATCTACAAAATAAGAATAAAATTTTTGCCCTCACAAATTTGTTGTGATAGTCATTGAGAGATATGTTTAGTATTTAGTTCAGTTTGGCAAATGGTAGCTGATCAATAAATTTATTAATTATGATTACTGTTATTCTTTTGCCCTCAGGCACACGCATACTTCTCTTACCACCTGCTTCTAGTCTTGCCCCTCCCTATTTGACTAGGAGTTCACACAAACATGTTTTTCTTAGCAGCTATAGCATCTCTCAGCCACCAACCCGACCGTCAGGTGGGAACTGCGGATACAGCTTTCCCAGCCTGAAGACCTTTGTACTCCACTCCTCTTGTACACTGCCCTCTGCTGACCACATACAGTTGATGCAATTGACCTTTCAGATCTTAGACGTGTCAGAATATAGGAGAGACCTTTGCCCCTGACCAACATTTAGAATTAGCTGCTAATAAACAAATCAGTTATAGTCATATAGAAAATAAGGGGACAATCACCAAAAGCTAAAACCGACTCATTTAGAAAATATTCCCTGCTAAACTAATATCATTCTTCATAATGATACCATTATAAGTCTAATTATTAGAAAATACATTAAATAGAACTGCCATAAGCACTTACCAAATGTTTCCTAATAATACTGTGGAAGTGATGTAGCACTATTAGCTGAAATAAAAAGCAGACAGGAGGCTCTATGGCATGGTTGGATAATCACCATAGAACTTAAGTGAATGAATTTTGAAAATTGTACAAAGGCTTCATCAACGGCCCTATCCCCATCAACATCTTTATAAATGACATGAATGAAAATATAGGCATTTTATCATATTTTCCAATGAGACAATATTAAACAGAATGGTTTATGTGATACAAAGAATCCATCTTCCAAATAATCTCATGAAATTCAATTTAATAAATAGCTATTGAGTTACTTCTGTGTTCAAAGCACTATAATATTGTTCTAGGCACTAAAGATAGGCTGACCAAAAATAAAATGGCTATCCTTATAGAGTCAATGTATTATGAAACCTGAAAATTCAGATTTTAATTTTGAAACAACTGCATTAAAACATTCGAAACCAACTCATTTTTCTAAATGGCATATACAAAACAGAAACAGAACTAATAAGAAAGAGATAGATAGATAGATAGATAGACAGACAGACAGACAGACAGACAGACAGACAGACAGATAGATAGATAGATAGATAGATAGATAATTATAGGAATTGGCTCACAAGGTTATAGAGACTGAGAAGTCCCACAATCTGCTGTTTGCAAGCTGGAGAACCAGGAAAACCACTAGTATAATTCAGTCCTAGTCCAAAGGCCTGACAGTCCTTGAACAAAGACCCCATCAATCAACAAACCTATTCCACCCAACGCCTTTATAAATGACATGAATGAAAATAGAAGACATTTTTACCATATTTTCCAATGACACAATATTAGGCAGAATGGCTCATGTGATACACTGAATCCTCTATCTATATCTTATTGGTTCTGTTCCCATTTTGTATAAAAATCTGAATTTTCAGGTTCCACAAGACATTGACTCTATAAAAGTAGAGTTCCTTTTTGCCAGGGGCTTCAATATTTGAAGTCAGAAAAAGGATATCCCAGCTCAAACAGAGAAACCAAATTCACCCTTCCTCTACCTTTTGTCCTATGTAGGTTTCAACTGATTGGATGAGGCCTGCCCATATTAGAGAGGACTCTCTATTCAAGTCACCAATTCTAATGCTAATCTCTTCTGGAAACACTGTCGCAGACACACACAGAGATAGTTTTACAAGCTATCAGGGCATCCTTCAGCTCAGTCAAATTGACACATAAAATTAACCATCACAGCATGTTTCTTGGTTGACAGGAAAATTAATAGAAGCAGTATGTATGTATGCACATGCATTGCACATGTGGACATATTTGTGGTAGAGATGCAGTGGCAAGTTACTTTTCTTTTTTCAAATATTAGAGATACGCTATGTCCTTCAACATAATGAACCATGGTAGATACAGTTTTTCCTGCAAGTATGCTCCCCTTTCATTGTGTCTTCTAGTAATAAAATCCTTCTGTGGGGAATCTATTTTACATGGTCCTGGTACAGCTAAATGCTTATGCTCACCCTGTCCAAATAACACCTAGACCCCCTCCTGGGGTGTCATATGATGCAAACCTGCTCAGAGTCCTCCACTGGATTTTTGCTCATACTATTAGAGAAAAGGCACTTGCATTTCTCTGAGATTCCAACTTTAAGGCTCACATAAGCCAGGAGCTACTAAGGATCATGTCTCCCACCACTTGGACAGAGCCTGACAGCAAAAAAAAACTAAAACGGAGAAAAGAAAAGCTTAGAGTTTTAAAGAGATGGATTGCTCTTGATGTGGTTTGAGTGCCTTGATCCTCCAGAACATGATGCTAGATTAGTCATTGAATCTTTCTTACAAATTTTCTTTTTGTGTCATGTGGTTTGTGTGGGTTTCTGTTATTCACCCTAAAAAAAATCCTGATCATCATTTTCACTAAACATTAAGTGCCTTATAAATTGTGTCTTCCTTACTGATCTCTGTAACCCAGTGCCAACATAAATTCCTAGTAGTCAGTAATTGCTAGATTCAGTTGAAGTAAACCAAAGTTTTAAGGAGGTTAATTTTGATGCAGTTGAGGGCAGTCTTCCTAAAGACTGGCACAGTTCAGCATCAGTACCAATTCTAGCACAGAAAGCATCAATATCAATGTTCAAACTGAGATTGTGAGGCTGCTGAGAGTCAGGACTTGGGGAAACCACCCTGTAAGTGACTTAGGGTCCCTTCTAGTCCAGAAGTTAAACAAAATACCCTTCATGGTGTTTTTATATCAGTTTTCATGGAAATTAGCTAATCTTTTGGCCTTTTATTCATTTGCTTTAGGCTTTAGAACATATGAAACAGTAATCATTGAAAAAGGTTGGCATAAGGCAAGCTGAAAGAAAACTGAAGTAGTATTGAGAATAATGTGGTTAGAGTCTCAACTCTGGCTGAGATTCTGAATGTTCACAGGCAAGGTACATAAGGCTTCCCATTCATAAAATGCGCACATATTCCAAATCAAGAGATTGTACTTAAAACCATCTAAAAAAAGAGCAAAAATAGAACAATATTTAGTCATATATTTGCGGGCCGTCTAAAGAAAAACATGAGGAAAAAACAAAAGATAGAAGAAATATAAATATAAATGGAATATTCAAGGGCAGTGGCTGTCAGGAACCAAACATGTTTGATTTCTTGATATCTAGGTAGATGCCACCATATCAGTCACACATTGCCATATCAAAAAGTTTCTATAATCAGGCCAACTTTTAAAAAGAATGTTTAATTAGACTCAATTAGAACGTTTAATTTTATGGTCTTGACTATCCTCTCAATTTCACATTTTGCCTGATCATTTTGTTTTTATTTGGGACATAAATACAGGTATAAATTAAAATCTGACAGCAAAGCAAAGGTTAAAGATTCTTTGTTATATGTAAGCCATGAAGCATCTTTGGCACCAAAACTGAGACTGAGTAGAGATCAGTATGGTCCTGAATACATGATCACCTCTACATTGGCTTAGTGGATCTGCATAAAGGTTCTGCAATGTTCCTATTCTCAAGGACCATTGTTCAAGTTCTTAATCTGCTTAGCTGCTCATTTATGTATGATTTACAGTTTCCTTTATTGCCAGGCAACTGCAGCAAAACTAGTTTTTTGTCTTTAGAAATTGTTTTGCTGCAGTAGGTAACGCCAACTCTGACAATGCTATTGCATCCCTAATATGATTTGTGATGTGTGCTGCAGCGAAATTCTGCCACCTTTTCTGAGTAGCAAAGTTGACTCATATCTACTCAAATAAAATAATGTCCCCATGTCCTCACTGAAATGTGTGAGTCACCATGATATTTCAATAATCATCGAACTTTTTTGTACCTAGCTGTCACCTGACATTCCATGTCACATGCACAGGTCAGAGATCACAAGGTAGAAAGGAAGAAAGGAGGTGGTACGTTTGGAGGAGGGGGTGGATGGTGGAGGAAAGGAGACATCTTTCAGTGTATAAGGCTATGAGCACCTAATTTTTATAAGAAAATCCTCAATTTCTAAAACAAAACCAGTCTTGTAATCGCCTATTCTTCTACTCTGAAAAAGAAGACAAACATGCTTACTGGAAAGAAAAGAGAAAATGGTGCTACATAATTTAATTTCACTTTCTAACCAGTCTTCTTTTGTCACATCCTATATATAATCATGTGAGAAAATCATTTTAAAATGGTCTCAAGTAAAAGGAAAAGTACAAGATGAAAATTTATGTAAGGCTGAGGGTGTTATTTCTCTCCTTTGCAAAGCTGTCTTATTGTCATATTGCTCTTAACAATAAAAAACAAAAAGATTTTCAGACATAAGCAAAAAAACGTTGCTTTTGACTGCTATTTTCTTAGTAATATGGCAAATATTTGGAGGGGTAACATATACACACAAAAATAACATATGAGTCAAAAACCATTCCTGTGGGAAGTACTTTTAAAAGTATATAATTAACCTCAAAGAAAGGCAAGTGAAGGACACCTTTCAAAGGGCCTTTCCTGCACTGTAGAATTAGTGTGCTTTTTTTTCTTTTCCAAATACAGAATGACTTTCTTTGATTCTCCTCCTACACACTATTTCAAATAAAACATGCAGTATGAAGCTTTTTAAATACTGAGATAAGATGTTTAAAAGGTTATTTTAACATCTGAAAATGGTCCCTTAACATTGTACAAATATTTAGGAATTTTGCACACAAATTTACTAGTTTATGAATTTTGATGTCAGCATTCTCTAATAATTGAAACCTAGACAATTAGGAAATGTTCAGAGGTGTTGCTGTCATCAACACACTTGATGACACATTGCCCCTGCATCACCAACCATGCGTATGGACAACAGACAACAGCTAAGGGTAGATGTCCAGACTCCATTCTGAGAGATAAAGAAGGAAGCGATAGAAGCAAAAAGAATTTGGGCAAAGTGAAATGACAAACAGTTCACTAAACACAGAGTCAAATAAATTAACACTTTAAATGAGTTTACCTTTTGAGGTATAGGAGCAGAGAGTGCAGAGGGAGCCCCTGAGATGTTTCCACCACTGACTTTCTTCCTCTGGACACTCTGTACAACTGATGTACCCAGTGACCACCATTCCTACCAGGCCATTACATCTCAGTCTAAAAAATAAAACATTCTCTTCCTGGATTAGCAAAGCAAAGCATTAGCTTGACAATTCTGGGGCTTGTGTCAAAGACTGACTTGGGTCAACAGATAGCAGAAGGAGAATGCAATATCTATAAATATGTATGTAGCATAGATGCTTTAGTGCTATCATTGCTTAATATGACAGCACATTAGAACCACCCAGAGATCTTTCAAAATTCAGATTCCAAGGCTCCAGAATCAGGTTTTCTTGAGGCACCAGAGCTGAGGGGAATGGGAGTGAGAGGATTAGATGAGGCTTTTCCATGTTCAAAACCACATGGCAAGAAAAAGGTAGAGCTGAGACTATTCAAGTTTCCTGTCTCTTAAGACCAAGGATACTCTAGTTACCAACTTCTCTGTCTCATATCACCTTACTTTCTCTCAAATTAAGTAATTGGGTTACATTACTTCTAAGCCCTCCTCCTGCTGCTGGTATTTTAATCACTTCCAATAGCAATGAGCACAAAATCCAGCCCCCTCAGCATAGCCTAGTGGTTGGGCCTGCTTCATAGGCAGGTGCAGTCACACAGTGCCCTTGATTTAATGATGCATTTGATTTAATGCTTTGTTGTCATCATCTTGAAATCCTTAATAATTTTTTATAAAACAATTTGTGGACAGGCTACCTTCTTGCTAATCCTCACATGGCAGAGAGCAGGGAGAGAGAAAGCAAGCGCTCCAGTGTCTCTTCTTATACAAGGCAGTAATCCCATCATGAGGGTTCCACCTTCATGACCTAATTATCTCCCAAAGGCCTCATCTTCAAACACCATCAAACTGGGGTCTTGGGTTTCAACATATAAATTTTGGAAGGGCACATTCAGTCCATAGCAGAACATGAGGCTTAGCTTGAAAGACTGCAATAATCCCTTAATTACAAATTTAGGTCTCAGGATCTACCATCCTCAAAGCAATGATAAGAAATGTAGTGATGTTTGCAAAGAGGGAGGCATGGCAGAGTTCCAAGTGGGGCTTGATTTAGCCTGCCACTCTGCCAGGTGGAACAGAAGGGAGAGAAAATACCGTATGAACTCCTGTTTTTAATTACATTGATCTGTACCAGCAATAAAGAGGAAATATATCCCAATCGATGCTCTGGGAATTGATTAGTCAGGTTATCAATGTCTTTCTGGAGGCACTGAGGGTGGGGAAAGAGAAAGATATGAAGAATGAAAAGAGACATAAGAAGATTTGAGATGAGCAACTTCTCCCGCAGTCTAGATTTTAAAATACCTCAAAATGTATTCCTAACCCTCAATAATATAAGCTAATAAAGGAGAAAGAGAGGATAAATGTAAAAAGTCCATATTAGCGTAATTTTCAAAGAGTTTTAAAAAATTATGTAAAGTTTCTTAGGGGCAACATTTCCATAAACTACCATGAAGAATTTCCCAGTTTGACAAGCCAGTTTTCCCGAGAAAATAGAGATCTTGGCAATTTTGTGGGCTATTAATTTGGTAAACAAATCTGTTCTTTATGAATTGAACAAGAGTAATTGCAGATTTCAAATCAGTAGGTACTGAATTAATGATATCCCTGTATAGAATATTTCTCTTCTTCTTAGTGCAGGACAATTCTGTAATGGATGTTAAATTCAAGCACCCACAGGACAATTCTGTAATGGATGTTAAATTCAAGCACCCACTTCTACCTGGAAACCTGAGCCACGAAATCTTCAGTGGCACCTAGAGGAGAACTTGATACTAGTGTTTCAGTTAGGCAATGTACCTCTTCCTGACAGCTTTCTCTAAGAGATTGCCCCATGTTAGGGACATGGCAGAGAGCATATTTTAAATATCAAAATACTCATAAGTGACTGAGCAATCCTTGAAAGGCTTGGATCCCAAATGCTGGCAAGGGAACTGAATTCAAGGACTATCCTCAAAGAAAGGAACAACACGTAGTGAAAAGAGCATGGTCTTTAAAGTCAGCCTACCTCAATGCCAGCTCTGCGTTTAGCCCCGGGGAAGTCTCTGCAAGGTACTCTAATGGAGAGGCTTCACCTGATAAATGGGGTAGGGACGCTGCCTGGAAGAGTAGTTGGGAGCATCTAATGAAATAAAACAGAGAAGATGGAGGTGAGGTGGAGGATCTCCATAAACTATCATTCCATAGTTTGTAATTCATATCACCACTTTTCTTAAACATTTCCATTAAAAAGTATAAGAGCCAGAGGGATCACAAAGTCATTTCATAGAATGCTTCCACTTAGCAGATGAAAATCTGGTCTTGCTCAGCACCTTGTGAAGAGCTTTGGATTAGTATGAGGATATAACCTGAGATTTCCTTACTTGGGGCTCTTTATACCACTCCCTTCCTCCTCTGGGAGCCACGTCTTCAGGACAAAGGCCACTTTAAGCAGCAAAGCTAAAAGGAGGCTGAAGTCTTGTGTATCCCCAAGTTATGTAGACCATCATAGACCAAAGTCATATATAGTCTGACACACCCTACTGGCTAATAATAATAATAATAATAACAGTTCCATCTGCTGATGGTTGGCCGGGTGTCAAGTGCTGTGCTCACAGCAGCCCTGCTTCCACAGACAAGGGAGTGGCCACCAGGGTCAGAGACCTCCTCAAGCTGGCCTAGTGGGTCCCAGGCAGAACCTGACATCAAATCAAAGCCCACCTTTTCTAAGGTTCCTGGTCTCTTTATGAGGAAGGAGGAGGAGAAGGAAGTGGGGAACCTTGAATAAGTAAATTCTCCTGGTAGTGAGAGCCACCATGACAGGCTCTCCGGAGGGGGCAATGCCTGCTGCTGGATCCCAGGGCACAGGATCCTGGTGGAGTTTACTTAGCCCTCCCTGAGGGAGGCGGTGCCAAGCCTGCACTGCAGGAGCTGCCACTGCCCAGGGATGATCATTTTAAACACTTCACCAAGTTGCTCACTGCAGAGAAAGAAGGCAATATCGAGTTTTCAGAAAATCTGAATTGGAGATCAGCCAATTCAGCTTGAGAAGCAAACGGAAACAGTTTGCTGCAGAGGATTCAGTCATAAAATGCTGTGTGAATTTGGGCAGGGTGTATGGGAAAAACAAACTGAACAGGGGCAGGGTCTTTAGCCTTAAGACTATCTTCAATAATCGGACAGTAGGGCTTACAAAGAAGGCAAGTCCTGAAAAACAGTCCCTGGACAAGGAATGTAAGAAATTCTTCTGCAGGAAAAAGAAAGCAAAATAATTTATTAATTAATTAAAGAATCCACTGCTATTTTCACCTCAGGTCCAGTTACTAGTTTGGAGATTTTCTCCCAGAGGCAAACCTAACATGGTACAAGTGCCGTGCTACAGAAAACATTTGTCTAATCAGGATTTTGTTATTGGTCCCATCTGTTTAACAGGATTGCTCATCACCTCAAAGTTAAGTAAAATCTGTTTGTTATCAACAAATTACATAAGAGCCTAGTAAATATTTTATGAGTAGAACTGTAAATATTTCCTTCTCTGTTCACAGGAATAAGTGAAATACCACTCCTATAAATTTCTCTGCCCTTCTGCCTGGCCACCCCTCACAGGATGTGAGAGGACATTTTCAGAGCTGCTGTAGCTTACCACGACAGGCTGAGAAATTTCCCATCCCCGGAAAAGACAACTACCTATTATTTTTCCTGAGGGGCACCACTGTTTCCCTTAAGTCAAAGGGTCCAATAAATTGAGGAGAGACAACATTTTCTACCATTATTTCAGTTAAACAGGAAAAAAGAAAATCCAGAAAAGAGATTATTATTACCTTCAAAGATTATACAATGTGGTCAAAAGAATACAGACTTGAAAGCCAGACACACCTGGGATTAAATCTGGATTCAGTCACCTACTCACTGCATGACCTTGAGAAAATTACTTTATCTCTTGAGGTATCGGTTTTCTACATGAATTTGCCATCATCTATAAATGGGACCCTGTTGGTAAGAAAAATGCCTAGAACAGTCCAAGGCCCATATCAACAGTAATAGCAATGATGACACTCATAGTACCTGTTGTAGGGCAGTTACTCGGAACACTTTCATTGTCTTCCTCCAACCTCATCTCCATCTTTCAACCTCAAATTTTTAAAGGGTGTCACAAAAAGTAGGAGTCAAATCTATTCTGTAAAAGAGTGAGTACGCAATTGAAACCAAAGAGTGAATGCTACAAAGAAATTAATTTCAACCAAAATTTGGGAGATATTTTACAATGGAAGTTGTCCAAAAATAGAACAGATACCCTCAAGACATAGTGGGTTCAGTGGTATCAGAGGATGACAACAGAGGCTGGGTGGACATTCACCAGGGATGCAGCTCCATTATGTCCAAATCTATGCTTCTAGGAGAGATATGATACATCTTCACTCACTTTTCTAACATTTTCTGGGCACCTGTGCATACCATCTGTGTGACCTTGGGCAAGATCCTTACCCTCTCTAGGCCTCAGTGCCCTTATTCCTAAAGAGCAGAAGTTAAGAGTACTCACTGTAGGTTGGTGATGACTATCAATATATGTAAAGCTCTTGGCAGAGTGCCAGCACACAGGCCAGCACAAATGCTAGTATTAGTGTGCATTTTAATATTGTACTGTTGTTATCACATAATGATTGTGATGATGGCCCAGGTCCTGTTACTGGGATTTAAAGATACAAATCTAAATTTGTATTCATCTATAAAGTAGAGATGTTTATATCTATATCATAGTTTATACCTTCATCTATAAATTAGAGATGTTTGAACCTACATCATTGTTATTAAATATATAAGACAGGCTATGAAAACTTGTGTTTCTTTAAATCACAAAATGCTCTGCACACAGACGCAATCATCAGACCATCAGGGTGTGTGACTTGAACAAGCTTTCCCTGGAGGATATTTTTTCTCTTTCCATCATAGACTTTGCTAATGCTCAGAATGAACGTGGTCTCTGGGAACATGTCTTAACGACTCCCTATCTTTCCTAAGGGAAGTGTGCAAGTGGCCAGCCCTTTGTCATCATTCATTCATCCATCCATCCATCTTTCCAAAAACTGCTCTTTAGATCTCAGAGGACAAAACTGGTTAGATGTGAGTGTTTTTCAGATCAATATAAGGAAAGCCTTTACCATTAAGAGTTAACAGTGGAAAGGTAATGAGGTCCTGGTGATCGAGGTTTTTGTAATAGAGTTTAGGATCCTCATCATGTGTTCAGAACTGGCTATATAATTCGTGGGACCCAAAACAAAATGAAAATGTAAGATTCCTTTTGAAAAAATAATTAAGAATTTAAAGACAGCCATAGCAGAGCAATAAGCCACTTGTGAGTCCTTCTGAGTGCAGGACCTTGTGCAATTATATAGCTTCACAAGGTCACACACCCCAGCAACAAGCTTGCACATTTCCTGTATTAGGTAGGAAGACCAGCTGACCTCTGAAACATTTTCCAGCTCAGAAATTCCAAAACAAGACCACAGGACCACAGCAATAATTGGTCTCACCAAAACCAGGGTGTCTGGTGGAAGAAGTGCTAGAAATGGAATTGGGGAAGATGTGCCCAGCACTTTGCCTTTTCATGGTGCAGTATAAAAGTCATTCTGCCATGAATGCATAAACGGATGAATGCATGGGTGGAAAGATATTTAACCCAGGACCTAGGACCCTGAATTGGAATGAACAGCTACGTGGCTTCAATACAGCCCCATAAGAGCCTACGTCTGTATATCAGCCCTGAAAAGACGGCTGTGGGGGAGTGAGGCTAAATGGGGCACAGGACACTCAGACTTCAATGGAAAAGGCAGATCCATATTTTTGGCTATGAGAGACCTTTCTGCTTGGGCAGAAGCTAAGCCCAGAATAGGTGAATGCTAGCAATGCCTAGGTTCTTCTCATCACCCATCCCATTAGCATTCAGTTGTCCCTCCTATGCCCAGGGCTGTGCTCTGCCTTCATACTTGCTAGGGTTCCTTAACACTTGTACTACTTTTTGACAAATATTTAAAACCCTTCTGCTGGGTTATTTCATGTCCCTGCAACGTGGAGTAAGCCTGGGATTCCTGTCTGTTAATTGCTCCCTGGCATAGAACAATCCCTGGAGGCCTCAGTCAAGGCCTTAAAACTTCAGGAGACCTGCTCTCCATTCTCTAGCACACATGGATTTCCTTAACTCCTCACAAGCTAGCATATATGCCCCCTTGCATCTGTGTAGGAGTGAAGGCTCCTTGTGGGCAGGCACCACAGACCACTCTGTCCCCTTCTCTCAATTTTCTGCTTCCCACACAGAGAAGGTCTGGCTGATGAACGTTGTGCTGAGGTGCCTCTGCCTCCTTCCACACGGGTTGGATTCTTTCTCTCTGACTCTAAGGCCCATATCCCTGAGAGGGAGGGAAAGAGACCCCAGGCTGAGGGTCTTTGTGCTGCTCCTCCCTAGCACAAGTCAAGGTGCATGTGTGTGCGATTGTGTATGCATGTGCTGAGTTACTGAATAGGGCAGATGGGGTGAGGGCCAAAGCATTTGGCTCCTAAGTGTTATTGTGCATGCCCGGAGCCCAGCAACCTGTATTATAGACAAACAAGTTCATGTGCTAAACTTCCAGGGAAGTTCATGTGCTAAAAGGCGCAAAGGTCCTTTCCCACAGAATGAGACACTGGACAAACCCTTCCCAGGAGCCAGCGGTGACTAGCTTCTTACATGGCTTGGGGAACACATACAGCCATGAAAAGTTTATGGATTCAGACCCATCCCCTTTTCCCATCCCCAGGTGGACAGTGGGACCCTGGACCCTACTTGGGCATAGTTTATTCATTATCTTCATCTTTTCAGGACAGAAACAACTTGTGATATACAGAACAAGAGCAGAACTATGTCTCTCGTACTCACTAAGTGGTCTTGAAGTCCCAAGGCCTCTTGCAGGTGACCATTTATCAAGAGTTTGGAAGGCTACACCAAACCCCTTTCTTGCTACTGGCCCCCTGTCAACTTTAGATCTTCTCCACTAATTTTATCTGTAGTATTTTCCTTGGCCTCGGTTTTCTCACTAGATCTCCAGGCTTTGGAGAGGTCTGGGAAGTATCCAGTAATTATCACATAGCTCCTAGTTCCCTTGGTCACCTCACTTTCTGCCTCTGGCCTCAGCATTACCACAGAGCCTCCAGCAAACAAACTCGTCAGAAGGAAACCACCTAGGCCCTCTCATATGGTTTGGCTGTGTCCCCACCCAAATCTCATCTTGAATTGTAGCTCCCATAATTCCCACATGTTGTGGGAGGGACCTGGTGGGAGGTAATTGAATCATGGGGGTGGGTCTGTCCCATGCTGTTCTCACGATACTGAATAAGTCTCATGAGATCTGATGGTTTTATAAAGGGTAGTTCCCCTGCACATGCTGTCTTGCCTGCCGTCATGTAAAATGTGCCTTTCTCCTCCTTTGCCTTCTGCTATGATTGTGAGGCCTCCCCAGCCATGTGGAACTGTGACTCCATTAAACCTCTTTCTCTTTATAAATTGCCCAGTCTCAGGTATATCCTTATAGCTGTGTGAGAACAGACTAATACACTCTCCCAGCTTGGCCTCAGGAAGTAAGGGCTTGCTTTCCAAAGCACAGCTTATTGCTCTAAGATTTCCACATCCCTCGAATGTTTGATGTGGGCCTTCCCAAGGGGCCATATTGAACTACTCCTTACACCGTCACTTACCACTGGGCTATGATCCCACAAATCATGTCCCCTGGGAAATTTTTCAAAGAAGGTCTTTATTTGAAAATCAAGTTGTTCCCTTTCTGCCTTGCCCAGCCCATGGGAGCCAGAAGCCTTTATTTCAAGGTGGAGGCGGACCAGCTAATGCACTATATTGTTCCAGGAGTTTTAGAAGCAGCATTCAGCCTCTGCCAAAGTATGGGCTCCAGTTGCCAATCTTCTCCATTTCCAGGACATGCATTGAACTCCTCAAAATCACTAATTATATCCTGTGGAAATCATAATTCTTCCTACCAGCTTTTGAGCCTGCCTACTTTCAATGAAGCCAGCAGGGCCCAAATGCTGGCTCTCTAGGAAACTGCTTCGCTATGAATGGAGGAAAAATAGAAGGGGAGAAATGTTCTTTCTTTGGAACTTAGAGGCCTGGGTTTTAGTTGCAGTTCTAACTTGAGTGTGTTCAATGGACTTCTCCTCATCTGCATCTATGTCCTCGTTTCTGAAATGAAAGATTGGACATGGTATTTCTGGGGCCCCTCCTAGCCTGAAACAATGCTAAGTTAGCCTAAAGGGGCATCTTTCTGTAGGTTCTCAGAGCTTCTATCCACTCAGAAGCAAGAAGGTAAGCCCTGGGCCTGAGGCACAGGGAGGTAGATAGTACCAAGCACAAGAACAAGGAAGATAAAGAATCAAAGCAGGGGTTTGTGGGCCATGATTTCCTGAAATGTATTTCAGGAAACACTACTTTCCTGGAAAATAAATAGGTGCTGCTGTCTTAAGAGATAACCTATGGTCAAATAAATTAATTTGGAAAATGTTCACTCAGACAATGGCTTCCTTTCCTGCAGGTCTTCTCAGGGCATTTAATATACTAGTATGAACTGTAGATCTCCCAACACTGCATATAATGTGTGAACATTCCAAAGTAACATTCCGGAGCAATCACTCTGGGAAATGTTCATCTAAGAGAAGCTACAAACATCAACAGAGCTGATAGCTAACTGGCCAAGCTTAACAGGCCTAGCAATAACACCTGAAATTAGACTGGCATCATCGATGAATTAGTTAACGGCTATGCATTGTTCTGCATTAAATGTTTTTGAGTGTGTGGAACCCAGTTCTTTCATCCAGTGTTTATTATGTGCTTCCTAAGGATTTAGGCCTGTGCTGGAAGAAAAGGGTATGTGCCTGTGAGTGTGTGGTGTGTGAGTGTGTGAGTATATTGTGTGAGTGTGAATGTGTGTGTGAGTGTGTGTGTATGAGCATGTGAGTGTGTATGTGTACATGTTGAGCAAGGGTAGGGAGGTGGAAAAGTATAGTGAAAGAACTGTTGCCTCAAGACTCATAATCTAGTGAATTAATCAGATAAAGCTCCGTAGGGTAACGACGTAAGTTCATGAATCAGCACGTGAGGGAGTAGTCAGGAGAAGCTTTGTGGAGAGTCAGGACTCAGGCTGGTCTATTACAAATTCAATTAGTGTAGACCAGATGATAACCTGACACAACTGAACATGTAAGATTTATCTCCACTTACAAGTTGAGAGCTGACAAATATTTCTTAGTACCGACAGTGAATAATTGGTAGTGCTATTATAAAGTGTAGAATTAACTTTTCTCTGCCTTGAGCCAATTGCAATGTATGGCCATTTCTCACCTCTCCTTTAATATATGATTCTTCCTCTTCTCCTCCTACTTTGACATTATCAATCCTACTACCTGTCCTCTGGTTTTTCTTGACTCATGTAAATTAATTTCCATCAAGCCCCAATTTGTTGCCAGTCTCTTAAGAGGTCTAAGAAAAATACCATGCATCTCAGTTATTCCATCATTCTTTATCATTGTGAATTTCCTGATTTCCTATGGGCTCACTAAGCAAGCCATGCTCAACGGTAGTGTGCTCATGAACATTTGCCCCACTGAAAGCCAGAGTGAGACCTCTAACACTGGGGACCTCATATTTGGATAAAAGAGATAGCTGACCATCCCCATTCTCCTCATCCATCAGGCCAAAGAGAATGCTAATTGGAAAGTGTTGCACATCTCCAAGAGCACTCTGGAGAGCCCAGGCCAAAGCTGATAGAATTTTTTTGAGACTTACAGGTATGTACATTTCTAATTCAAAATATATTTCGACAGTAGTTAGTATACAGTTATATGCTCAGTGAAATTTGAACCTTAATAAAGTACAGAATAATGCTACATCAGTTCAGTTTCTTGTGCTGTAGAAGAACAATGTGCTTTAAAACCAGAAGATTTAGGTTTAAAGCTCAGGGTTGCCACTTACCTGCTGTGTGACATCAGGCTAGTGGCTTAGCAGAACCAGAGGTTCTTCAATTATGAAATGAGTATAATACAGTCTATCTCACCGGTCTTTGGGAGGATTCACCACTAACATGTATGTATGTGCTAAGTGTGTGCCTGGCACATATTTAAAATCTTAGACCCTTTCTCCTTTGTGGAGAGGCAGTGAACAGGATAGAGGTTAAGATAGCAGTTCCTCATGGAAGTCCCACCTCCTGAGGCCAGGAATACTCTAAGTCTATCTCACTGCCTGTCATGGCATTTATATGAGAACTTAGTGAAAAGAAATGTGTGTATTCTTTGAATGTCAGGATGCACCAGCTCCTAAAATAACCTTGAAAAATCCTCTGATACCAGCTCTACATGATCTCTTTGGATAGCATTTCCCAGGGTCAGTAAGCTCTGAGATTTTAACCTGGCAAATTTCAGTAGGTCAGGAGATTTAAGGAAAAAAAACAAAAAACAGAAAATCGTGGGCAATCAATTGCTATGATAGCTGATCTCCAAAATAACTTCCAATGAACCATGCCTCCCTGTACTCTCTTCCTTTTGTCATCCCTTCCCATAGTGAATTTGAGTTGACCCTGTGTAACCAACAGAGTGTACCAGAAATGATACTATGTGATTTCTGAAGCCAGTTCATATAAAGCCTTGAAACTTCTGCCTTGATCTCTTAGAACAATCACTCTTGAAATGGTCCCACTGAGAAAGTCAGCTTCCATGTAAGCAAATTGACTGCCCTGAAACCACCACACTGAGAGAAACTCAAGCCACCTGCAGGCAACCTAAGGATGCCAGGTAAAGAGAGAGAGGCCACAGAACACTGAGGGGCTATGGGTATGAGTGAAGAAGCTATCTTCTAAGCGGATCCTCTGGCCCCAGCCATCCCAGTTATTACCACATAGGTCAAAGACAAATCACCCAATGAAGCCTTCCTGAATTCCTGACCCACAGAGTAGTCCTAAGCAAAAAAAAAAAAAAAAAAAAAAAAAAAAAAGTCTGTATAAAGCCAGTACATTTGGGAAAAGTTTGTTATACAGCAGTAGATAACCAGAACACTTGCTCTCACTCAATCGAGGAGTACCCTTCACATGGAAGGAACACACAGAACAGGTTTTGATTGTTGACATAATAAGAAACTGGGCTGGGCATAGTGGCTTATGCCTGTAATCCCAGCATTTTGGGAGGCCGTGGCGGGCAGATCACCAGAGGTCAGGAGTTCGAGACCAGCCTGACTAACACGGAGAAACCCCGTCTCTACTAAAAAAAAAATACAAAATTAGCCAGGCATGGTGGCACATGCCTGTAATCCCAGCTACTTGGGTTGAAGCAGGAGAATCGCTTGAACCCGGGAGGCAGAGGTTGTGGTGAGCCAAGATCGTGCCATTGTACTCCAGCCTCGGCAACAAGAGCAAAAATCTATCTAAAAAAAAAAAAAAAAAAGAAGAAGCTGACATGAAAGTTCAACTGTCTGACAGAGACAATGGTATCCACATTTTTCGCAGTTGGGAAACTGATGATTTCAGTGAGAAAGGTCATGAGGGGATCTGGACTATCTGTAGTAGGAGTGATTTCAATGAGGAAAGGAAGTGTGTATAGAGCACTCTTTCTAGGCACGATTGCATACATTCTCCTGTTGAATCCCATAGTGGATCTTTAGAATTGCATTATGCTGTTCATGTTACAAATCAGGAAACTAAAGAAGGGAGAGATAAATGGCCCTTCCGGGTCACAGAGCTAGAATGATTATCCCAGTTATGCTGGTGAGGAAAGTAGCCTTCACCAGCTACCACCTGAATGTTATTCTGAGTTCTCCTTTAAGGTTGATTCTGAAATTAGAGGTGGCAACAGAGCTGGCAGGCCATGAGCAGGGCCAGCACCACCTCCTCAAGATTGTTTAGAAACGGTTTAGAAAATCCAAGCCCCATATAACCATCCAAGTTCAACTTCCTGAGCCCCCTTGAGAAAGTCTTCTGCACACACATTTATTGAGTATCCCCTGTGCTAAGACTTCAAAGATGTATAAGAACTCTCCTTGACTCAAAGAGTTCAAAGTCCAGTGGAGAAAGCATTTACATAAACAAAGAATTTAATTGGCATTAGGGGCTGTGTGGAGTGCCAAAGGAGCAGCTAGTCTGAGCAGATCTGAGAACGCATTCTGGAATGCATGCTGATGGCATTCAACTTGGCAGGATTAGCAAGAGTCAGCCAGTCTGAAGTGACAGATGTTGTCCTCCTTATAGGGAGACCCTCCACATTCAGCCTCACTACGCACTGCTTCTAGAACCCCTGTTCTAAACCCACAGGAAGGTGTGACTGCCCCTTTCTTTCCATTAAACCTGTCTGGAGTTTCCAGTCCTTTGTCAAAATATAACTCACACGAGATGCCTGAGTGGGATGATAAATTGAGGGAGTTGAATTTTCTTCATATTTTGAAAATAGGGCCCAACTGAAAATACCTCAAACATTGATGGGAAGTTTAATATTTCATTTTTATCTTTCCCACAAAGCACACTTCACACTCCACTGAACTAGTTCCTGGGTCTGGCTGAAAATCTTCCACTTTATGTGGCTTTGCTACATATTCCTGTCACCCCAAATGCTCCTATCTCTTGATATGAAACTTTATTTCTCATCCCCTTTTAGAGAAGAGCTCTCACTGCTGCTGGTTCCAACCTGGCTAAGTCCAGGCATAAAGAATAAAATATCCAGTATCATCTCTCATGCTGCCTCTCTCTCTCCATGCACACTCTGCTCCAGCCATAAGGAACTGCATGCATGCCCTACATATACCATAGCATTCTCACTTCTTCATGATGTTCTCTCTCCCTGAACATCTTCCCACACCCCTCAACCTTGAGCCACCCAGTGAACACTTCCTCCAGTAAGTTATTGTGTGCTTACCACGCACTAAACATCGTTCCAGCACTCTGACTCCTTCTACTGCAATGCCTCTCACAGGATTTTACTCACTTGATAGAAAATAAAAAGAATTTTGATGCCCCTCATCCAGTAAGAAGCAGGTAGAGTGCAAAGTTAGTTCACTGCAGTAATAATGACTCATAGGTTTTATTTCATGCCTGTAATCCCAGCACTTTGGGAGGCCTAGGCTGGTGGATCACCTGAGGTCAGGAGTTCATGACCGACCTGACTAACATGGTGAAATCCCATCTCTACTACAGATACAAAAATTAGCCAGGCATAGTGGCACATGCCTGTAATCCTAGCTACTCGGAAGGTTGAGGCATGAGAATCACTTGCACCCCAGAGGCAGAGGTTGCAGTGAGCCGATATCACGTCACTGCACTCCAGCCTCGGCAACAAGAGTAAAACTCCGTCTCAAAAAAAAAAAAAAAAAAAAAAAAAAGATTGGCATGCAAATATAGATACAAATGCAAACATTGGCTTTACATAGAATGGGAACTTTTCCCATAGAATAGGAAGCGGGAAAGTCATTTAATGTTTAAAAAAACACACACACACTTTGTTTTGGGGGAATGAAATACAGATATTTAGTGTGTGGCTCCTCCTCTAAGAGGAATGATGCCAACCAGGGCAACTGGTGCTGGTTCTGGGACTAATTCCAAAGGTGGGCAGACCTCTCTCTTGAGCATCTCCTACAGCCTGGAAATTGGCTTTTGTTCTCTTCCTTCTTTCTCAGCTCTTCTCCCACTAGGTGTTATAGAGAGAGAATATGTTAGGTTGGTGCAGCTCCAAACACCCAGGGGCTTTCAGGTGAGTGAAATAGCTAAGTCATCTACATTGACTTTTAAAGAAATGCAGGAGTTTCCCAGGAACTACATAAAGTTCCCAGAGCTACAGTTTCTGAGGAAAGAAAAGTTCCCCAAGTGCTGAGGTGTTTAAAGAAGTTTTCCTAGAGGAGGACAGAATCCTTCAGAGACAAGAGCTAGTGTCAGAGAACTTTACAAGGCTACTTTGGGATCTGGTATATCCTGACATTCAAAGAACACACACCTTACTTTTCTCTAAATTCCTATTTCAATGCCCTGATTGGCAGAGATAGCCTTGGAGTATTCCTGGCCTCAAGAGATGGAACTTCCATGAGGAACTTCCACCTTAATTTCTATCTTCTGCACTGCCTCTCCCTAAAGGAGGAAGGGGCTAGCATTTCTTGAGTATCTACAAAGTCCAGGCACAGAGTTGGCACATATGTACATGTTAATGGTGAATCCTCCCAAACACCTGTGAGATAGGCTGTGCTATGCTCATTTTATAACTGAAGAATCTCTGGTCCTGTTAAGCAGCTTGCCCAAGGTCACACACCAGGTAAGTGGCTTTAAACCCTGAGCTTTAAACCTAAATCTTCTAGCTGTAAATCTCATTGTTCTGCTACAACATAAGAAACTGTATTGATGTAGCGTTATTCTGTACTTTGTTTTATTAAGGTTCAAATTTCGTTGAGCATATAATTGTATACTATCATAACTACTGTCCAAATATATTTTGGATTCGAAACTTACATACCTGTAAGTGTCAAAAAAAAATTCTGTCAACTTACTCTGGCCTGGCATCTGCACAATGACATTATTGCTGAACTCTGCAAAGAGTAAATCATAATTTATCCTGTGGTATTTCTTATAGCTCCCCTAAACTTTTTCTTACCCAATGCTATTCCTGGACTCCTGTCCTGTTTTCTGGAAAAAAAAAAAAGCAACAGAATTACCTGCTGAAATAGGATCATTCTGAAGTTAAGCATAATTAAGTGTTAACTAAGTGCAATAGTATGTCTTTCATCTTACAGTCCCAACATTGTTAATGATTTTCTTTTGGATTTTAAAGCCAGCTAATTAAAATACTGAAAGCAATGCAACATTGCATAAGTCAATTTCTTGTATAACATTTTGTCCTTGGTTTTGGCCTCTAACTCATATTGATCACCCTAAGCGTGAAAAAATCTGTTTGGGTTAAGCAAATATATGATCCATGCAGATATTTCTCTGAATGGCTGCCTTGAATCCAGGGTGCTCTTGGAGATATGCAGTACTTTCCAATTAGCACTGGGACACAGGTGTTGCACAAAAGCAAGGTCATTATATGGAAAGCTTATCGTGTGGGTCCCTTTGGTAAGTCTGCTTAAGAGCCTTCCTATTTGCTCCTACTGGCCTTCTCTTGGATAATGCATCTAACAAAAATTGCCTGCAGTATTCTCAGCAGAGAGAGTGAGGCAAGATGCGATTACAGGGAGATAGGAGCCCAAGGACCAGGGTGCAGGTACAAGTCAGAACAGCCCAGGCACTGAGAATCACTTGATGTTGAGCTACCTATTCAACAAAATGTGTATTAAAATAGATATGCCTTTTTTATTTATTTCATTAAAAACACCTATAACTGCCTACTATGCTTCAGTCACCATTCAAAATGCTCTAGAAACATTTACTTATTTAAAACCTGCACAACCCTTTGAGCCAGACACTAGTGTTACCCCTATTATATTAATTAGAAAATTGAGGCACAGAGAAGTTAAGAGACTTGCCCAAAGTCACGAGGATAGAAGTTAATCATCCTTTGGTTTCCCTGGGCCTCACTGGAAGAAGAAGAATTATCTTGGGCCGCACATAAAATGCGCTAACACTAACGATAGCTGATGAGCTAAAAAAAATAATAATAACAACAAAAAGAATCTCATAATGTTTTAAGAAAGTTTATGAATTTGTGTTGGGCTGCATTCAAAGCCATTCTGGGCTGCATACAGCCCATGGGCCATGGGTTGGACAAGCTTGGTCTAGACCACAGTAACCCTTTTTGATTTGCAAACATAAGTATTTTTCAGCTCCATAAAATTATGTACATAATATTGCTTTCAGGATTATCTCTGATTTATTACCGTTTATTTTTTTTCTTGGAACACCTATCTTTCTGGGATTGGGTATTTGCTTTCTGAGTCTTATATCTATTACCATTTTATCCATGTTTTCACTTTTTCTTTTTCTTCTGCATTTCAAAAAAAATTTGAGACAAGGTCTCACTATGTTGCTCAGGATGATCTTGAACTCCTGGGTTCAAGTCATTCTCCCACTTGAGCTTCCCAAGTAGCTGGAATTACAGGCATATGTCACTGCACCTGGCCTCAGATACATCTTTGATTTCTATTGTTTTCCTTTTGTTTTTAAATTTTACTTCTTTTTTCTCCTTCCTTTGCAGATTTTTATTCAGACACTAGATTTTGATTTTATTTAACAACAGATTTAAATTCTGTTATTTCAGATAATTCCCTTTTATATCTACTTTGATTTCAACTTAGTCTTGACTTATGCACCTATTCCTTATATGGAGAATGTGCCATCTTAAATTTATTAAATGGGTCTTGCAGAGGGTTTCTAAAATTGAATTCCACTTTCTCTAGCAAATTATTTTCAGGGGCATCTCTTCTTCTGAGTATTCTAGGTAATTCTACTTTCTTTGAGGGATGAAGCAGAGGGAAGGTGTGTGGATTATCCTTCAAGCCACCATACACATACACATACACATACACATGCACATACAGTCCTCTTGAGTGCCAGCAAATTCTAGAACTCATATATAGATATATCCAGAGCACAGATTGATGTGCACAGTCTTGAGTCCAAATACTGAGGCCTAACACAATTTGGTGTACCTCTGCTTGGCCCCACATGAGATGTTCTGCTGTTGGTGTCAGGACCCCGATACACTACCAAATTAGATTCAGTCTATAGCTTTTCTTTGAATACTATAGTATGTAAATGGACACTAATTAAGCAATATAGTCCATTGTGCAAATGAAATGCTAGGGGAAAGAGAAATATGTTTCCTGAAACAAACAAACCTGGTCAGAGAACACGGAAGCATCTGACGGATGCAGCGTGTCTTGGACAAAAGGTTCAAAAATTCCTTCTGATTTTTTTTTCTGTACTTAGAAAAACAAACAAAACCACCACCCATCAGACCAATGATTGAACACTAGATGCATTCTACCTTCCACAGTCCATGAGTTTAAGGCCAAATGATTAGATATTCCATTCTCCCCTCCAAAAAGGAAGCTTGATCCTTTTATTGTAGCAGATGGTACCATGCTCATCATCAGAGCAGTTCTCAATGTGAGAGAATTCATGCTGGCATTACATAAATCTCTGTCCCATTTCTGCTTTGGGGCAATCGGACATATGGGAAGTTTAGATTTTGAGGATGTATCTTGTTGAATTCTACACACAAAAAGATACCCTAATACCAAGCTAGCATGCTAGTCAGCTTATGATCTAGTAATAGAGAAAAGGCAGAAGCAAAGCCCTTTGGTCCTTCCTGACCAGTATGAGATGTCTAAGAAGAAGACTTCCTCAATCATACTGTGAACACTATTCTCTATTCTATCCTTGTGCTATTGAAAGCAGTAGCCTTAATGGTATGGAAATTCTTGGAGTGGCATCTCCAAAAACAAAAACCAATTTAGACAAAAGAGGACAAAAAATGTCCAGATGGCTTTGCTGTGCTCACCATTGTACATGAGGATCTGCTGTCCACAGCAGCCAGAGTGCATCTGTTCAACATTTTATTCAATTACTTAATTAGAGTAATGTTCTCTCTTTAATTGTCACTGTTTTAATAAAACATAAAATCAAAGTAAAGTTGCTACTGGATATTTTCTGACATGTAGAGTTTAAGGCATAGAAGAAAAGCTTCATCCACTATTTCACTGACTCTTGAACACATGTCCATACCCCTCTTTCCATGGACTCAGCACTCCCATCAGACACAGAAAGCTTCTCTTTGAGCAGAGGAAAATTTGGGAGCAAACTTCTGATGTTATCCCCTCAAGCAGATCTATCATTATGTTGTTGAGGAGAGAAAGTTGGCAGCAAGAACAGAATGATTGATCACATTGTTCTTTCTCTAACTTGCAGAAATTCATCTCTCATGCTTTGTAAGAGTTATTCATTTGGAAAAATAAGATACAAATGAGCAAGCCTTGGAATGGAAATGCCCTGGTAGTAAGACAGACATCTCAAAAAACATCATCTACCTTTTTGGAGTTGGAACACTTTTCAGGGGCTATTCTGCATCTCTATGTGTAAATGCATTTATAAAGTTCTGCTGAGAGAGGATCTGTCCCCTTTACAAATTAAAAGTGATATATATATATTTTTTGACAGAGAGGTAAGCCTCATAAAATGGCAGGAACCCTCTGAATGAAAACAAAACAAACAAACAAAAGAAGGTGATACACCTACCATCTACCATAGATAGGCTATGCACTCAGAATTTTGTAGACCCAGAGGACAGAAAGAAATCCCAAAGTCCAGTTAGCTCACATTAAAACCCCTTGGAATGCATTTTAAGAATATTGATCCTTTAACTCCACTTCACACAATTAAATCCAAATCTTGGGGAAGAGGCTGGATGTCAGTATTTTTTAAGTGCCCTTAGGAGATTCTAATGGGTTGCCAGGGTTGAGAACAACTAGCCTCTTGCCAAATGAGGCACAGGAAGAATCAAGGGGAATTCAGATTAACCAATCAAAGGAAGATCAGCATAGGGGATGCAGATGGCATATATGGCATCTGAACTTTTTCTGTATTCAAGCTGGATGCAAGCTGCATGCATTAAAAATGAGCCATGACTGGACAGTGGATGAGAAGAAAAAAAAAAAAAAGGCCACTTTAGTGTTATTTGAAAGTGTATACAAGGCAATTTAAAGACTTCTGTCTTTGAATCAGAAGCTGTTTATGAGAAAGTTGTTCTAAAGGCCCAAAAGATCCAAAAAGTGCCATGCAGATGTGTGTGCCCTTGAAAGAATAAACATTTGTAATTTAGTAAAAGTCAAAACAAAACAGAACAAAACCACTAATTTTGCCTAGGTGCTATGGTTCAAATGTGTCCAAACCATAGACTCCATGTGTTGGAAACTTAGTCCCCAGTGCTGCAGTGTTGGAAGGTAGGGCCCAATGGGAGATGATTATGTCAAGAAGGCTTCACCCTCATAAATAGATTAATGCTATTACAAAAATGGTTTGTGGGAGTGGGCTTGCTCTCTTGGGCTCTTGCCTTTCCACCTTCTGCCATGTGATAACACAGAGAGGGCCCTCACCAGATATTGGCTCTTTGATCCTGGACTTCTCAGCTTCCAGAAATGTGAGTCAATAAATTTCTGTTCATTATAAATTACCCAGTCTCCAGTATTCTGTTGTATCAGCGCAAAAGAAACTGGGACATTGAGATAATTCTTAAACCTTTTCTGGATTTATATATTGACTTTATATTATAACCATTTGTAATAAATAGTTCTATGATTTCAAGAAGGTATTTCAGTGGAAAAAAACATGAGTGTGTACCAGAAAAGTTGAAGCAGAATGGTTAGCGTGGGAGATATACAAAGACACAAAGTCAGGGAAAATACACAGGGACACAGGGTAGTGGGGGAGGAAGGAATATTAGGAATTTATTTTTCCCTTTTACTGAATCTGGGAGGAAAGAGGCATGGCATCAAGGTTAAAAAATTGTTCTGTGCTCCTCAACACACATTTTAGAAACAGTGTATTTCTCCTAGGTCAACCGCAAGCCAATTACTTGCCCAGCTAAGAGTTTACAGTTTTGCTACCACAATACCATTCCCTGGAGACTTCAGGAATCTGGGTAGAGAGAAATCAAAGAGGTGTAGAATAAGTGGTTTAGAATTCAGACTCCCTGTATCAGGCTCCCTCCTGGGCTTCTGAGCCTGGGTTGCTGCTGCTGTGACTTGTAAACCTCCAGATGGCTCCAGGCAGGCCCTACAACAGGGAATTCTGTCATCTGTCCAGGATGCCTACATGGGGCCAACTGCAATCTGTGTTTCAATTTGACCACTTGATCTTCTACATTGGCTTGTCTTCTGTTTGCACAAAATTTGATTGAGATTTGTTTTATTTTGACAAATACTGATTTGGAGCTTAAATTTAACAATGCCAGATAGAGCTCCCAAAGATTCTGTCTTCTGTGATTTACAGAAGACTTCATGGAAATTTAGCCCAGATATAAAGGTTATATACCAAGATGGATTTGAAGAGGACTGCATCATTTATGTTCTACCGGAGAACTTGACATTAATATGCTTTCTGTATAGGATAGCAATCTACTATAACAGTGAAGATTCTTTTGTTTTGAGTATGGCTTAAACTTTACTGCCTCATAGAATGGAATGAATGCTGGACATGGTGTTGTGAAGAACTGGATTCAAGTTCTACTTCTGCCACTGACTAAATAAATGTCTTCATTCAGCTTGTTTTTTTTTTCTTATCTTCTTGAATTTGACTTTCTAATTTGTAAAAGAGAGAAAACATCAATTACCTTGTCACCATGCTTAAAAGTTAATATGGAAAAAAACACAGTATATCAAGCTGAGAAAAATGCCTTGCACATAGTAGTTTGTCAATAAATGTTATCTATTGTTTTTATTATTCTTATTAGATAAGTAAATAACTATTTCAGATGGTAATTATTAAAATGGTTTCTACAAATAGAAGACAGGCTGTAAAGCAACATCTCCATCATTTTTAAAGAGTTATTTGTTATGCATGTTTTCTCCTTAACAAGCAGAAACAAGGGAGGAGAGCTGCTGAGAAGCAAACATCCTAGTGTTTTGCTAGTGGATATGGTGAGAAGCCCCCTCCTCTGAAAGAGGCCAACACTGATACTGAAGTAGATACTGGCTTATCCACTTACAGAAAATTCCCTATTGCTACCATTACCACTACTTCCTGCTAGAAGAAGAACTGTTTTTGACATAGAACAATTTAATATGTGATTAAAATAAGACCACATTTTCATCAAGATTTCCAGCCAATTGAGCTAAAGAATGCTAGCACCTTGAGAGGAAATCCCTGGAGAAAGAGTATTATGAAAATCTGGACTTCTGCTCTGAGTCTGTTAGACAAGGAGGGTTAGGAAAGAAGAGTGGTGATGGAACCTACCTAGTCCCCTGGGTCCTCATAGAAGCCACCTTGGCCTGCCAGACACAGCCAACTATGAGTGTGGATGAGGTAGGTGGGTGAGTGAGCCAAGGCTTAGGGGCAGAAGAGTCTATGGTCCCTTCTCTGGATTGAGCTTCTGCTGCAATCTGTAGCTGCTGTTGGAGCTCAGAGAAAGAGGCCAGTGAGTGTCAGGCCTCTGAGCCCAAGCTAAACCATCTTATCCCCTGTGACCTGCATGTACACATCCAGATGGCCGGTTCCTGCCTTAACTGATGACATTCCACCACAAAAGAAGTGAAAATGGCTGGTCCTCGCCTTAAGTGATGACATTATCTTGTGAAATTCCTTCTCCTGGCTCATCCTGGTTCAAAAACCTCCCCCACTGAGCACCTTGTGACCCCTACTCCTGCCCGCCAGAGAACAACCCCCCTTTGACTGTAATTTTCCCTTACCTACCCAAATCTTATAAAACAGCCCCACCCCTATCTCCCTTCACTGACTCTCTTTTCGGACTCAGCCCGCCTGCACCCAGGTGAAATAAACAGCCTTGTTGCTCACACAAGGCCTGTTTGGTGGTCTCTTCACACAGACGCAAATAAAAGTGAGCACCAGCAGATTGGGAATATTTCCCAAGGAATGAAGAGCAGAAGCTAAGCCTTGAAGTATGGGAGAGTGAGCATAATAGAAGGAAAAAAAAATGTATCTAATACTTATGTAAATATAGACAATAAACACATACAGATAGTGACTCATTTATTAAATCTGTTGCCTCTCTGACACTTGGGGCAGGCTGTTTCTGTAATTTCACCTATCTGAACCCTGCTAAGATGTTTCTGATCATTCAGGTTAAAAAAAAATGAAGAACTGGAGCCAAACACATGTCTTTATAAAGTGAAACGAGATGCACTATCACCAAGCAACCATCAAATGCCAACATTTCTCTCTGTTCTTCCTTGTGTGTGCAGACACAGTGTTCCAGCCATGACAATTACAGTTGAAGCCACAACACAGTTCTTCTAAGAGAAGCTGCCAATACACAACCTCCACTGAAAGGAAAGCCCCAGGTGGCTAAGTTTTATATTCTATGACCCCGTACTTTCCAGTCCTAGCTGATTGGACCAAGATAGATCTTTGAAATCTAACCAAAGAAACTGAGTTCATAGTAAAATGAGTTATTTGTAATGTGGTCTGTTGTGAAAAGATGAAGCAGGGACTATTATGTTTTCTCCTTCAGAAAAGTGAACTGCTATATCTGGAAGAATGAGACAGAAGTAGAGGCTAAATTGATGGGATGCAATGAGATAGAGTTTTATCATATAAAAAGGAAAGTTATAAGTAAGCAGAATCTAAGAGCAAACAAGGTCTACGAAGCACAGAAAAATGAATATAGGATCAAGAATGTGAATAAGCAAGTCTCTAACAAGTGGAGATTTGAACAGGCATCATGAAGTAGCTGGATAGATTAAGAACACAACATCCCATCTGTAGCCCCACTCTATCAAGACCAGAGTGTTCAGTTTGTTCTAGTTTTCTGTGTGCACATATTCCCATGAAAATGATCAAATAACATGTGATGACTTAAGTGAGTCCCTGTTCCTTGTATCCAAAGACAGCCTGTGTTATTTAGGGTTCTCCAGAGAAATCAAATCAATAGGATGAATAGGTATGTAGATAGATGATAGATAGACAGATAGATAGATAGATAGATAGATAGATAGATAGATAGATAGACAGATAGGTAGATAGATACATACACACATACAAATTACAATGAATTGGCTCATACAATTATGGAGGGAGAGAAGTCCCAAGATCTTCAGATGGCAAGCTAGAGAACCAGGAGATTTCATGATACGGTTCAAGCCCAAAGGCAAGAGAAGATTGATGTTCCAGCTCAAGCAGTCAGGCTGAACAATTTCCTCTTACTCAATCTTTTAGTTCTATTCATTTATTCAATTGACTGGATGAGGCACACCCACATTAGGAAGGACAATCCTCTTTCCTAACTCTATCCATTCAAACGTAAATCTCATCCCAATATACCCTCATAGGCACACCCAGAAAAATGTTTGATCTAATGTCTGAGCACCCAGTGGCCTAGTCGAGTTGATACATAAAATTAACTATCACAAGGCCTAACTGAACCACTTCACCTGCTCAATAATTCTGCTACTGGAGAATGACTCACTTGAACTGCCAGTGACTTTTCCAGGTGTTCTGTTAAATTCACGGGAACCATTCTGGCTGATTGGAGGCTGTGCTGCCTTAGGTAGAAAGTGCCTTCAACTTAGATACAGGGCACCTGGACTAATTAATCTTCTTTCACCTCATCCTCTGGTACCCTCTACCCTTCAATTTTCCTCCTGTCTATGTGTACACATTTGGAAACTTCCCTGATACCCATCAGAACTGCTGAAGAAAAGGGAGAAGGAAAAAACAGAATATATTCCACTTGGTTATAAGCTCTCAGGATGCAGATTTAAGTTGTTACTCAAATTCATGTTCATTACCATGAGAGTAATGCAAGAAGAATAAGCTGATTATCTACTTACCGTAGTCCTTTTTTTGTTTGTTTGCTTGTTTGTTTTTTTTTGCTGAATTAGTTTGTTTTCACACTTTTAGCTGCTTTTTTAGGAAAAGTGGCCATTATCAAACCAATCTGGATTATTTTATCTGTTATCATGATCTCTTAGAAATGAAAGAGCCACTAGAGACACAAACTGTGTTCCACAGCACAGTAGTTACAATAAATATTAGTGGGTACTACGAGAGGATTCTCTTTTTTAAATATGTCTAAGAGGTTGCAATGCACTGAAGGATATAAGGGCTTTAGATGTTCTACAGTAAAGAAACCTGTGAAACTTAGCTTAATGTAGTACTCCCCAAGCTTAATCTTATGTGATTAAAGTAGCTTGTTTTCATGGCACTTTTTAAGGTCCTGCAGAATAGGGTCCACATGACATTGGTTTAGAAAACACTGTCATCTGACGTGTTCTTATTAAAATATCTGGCCCTATAACCTGCCCAATTCAAAAATAGCCTATACAACATCAATGACCAAAGGATATTCAGTTGAGACTCTGCTTAACCATATTCCATGACTAGAAAAATATTTATTAGCTCAGGGGACAGCTGGTTCCATGTTTGGAGGGCAAGTGGTGATAAAAGCATAAAAATTGGAGTTAGGAGGCCTGGGCTCTGAAATCCATGGGCCATGAGCCTTTGTCCTATCAGCCTTGGAATCTTTCTGTGTACAATTGAGACACAGGACTAGCTGGATTTCCTAGGCCGACTAAGAATCCCTAAGCCTAGCTGGGAAGGTGACCACATCCACCTTTAAACACGGGGTTTACAACTTAGCTCACACCCAGCCAATCAGAGAGCTCACTAAAATGCTAATTAGGCAAAAACAGGAGGTAAAGAAATAGCCAATCATCTATTGCCTGAGAGCACAGCGGGAGGGACAAGGATTGGGATATAAACCCAGGCATTCGAGCTGGCAACGGCAACCCCCTTTGGGTCTCCTCCCTTTGCATAGGAGCTCTGTTTTCACTCTATTAAGTCTTGCAACTGCACTCTTCTGGTCCGTGTTTCTTACCGCTTGAGCTGAGCTTTCCCTCACTGTCCACCACTGCTGTTTTGCCACCGTCACAGGCCCACCGCTGACTTCCATTCTTCTGGATCTAGCAGGCTGTCCACTGTGCTCCTGATCCAGCGAGGCGCCCATTGCCGCTCCCGATTGGGCTAAAGGCTTGCCATTGTTCCTGCATGGCTACGTGCCTGGGTTCATCCTAATCAAGCCGAACACTAGTCACTGGGTTCCACGGTTCTCTTCCATGACCCACGACTTCTAATAGAACTATAACACTCACCTCATGGCCCAAGATTCCATTCCTTGGAATCCATGAGGCCAAGAACCCCAGGTCAGAGAACACGAGGCTTGCCACCATCTTGGAAGTGGCCCCACCACCATCTTGGGAGCTCTGGGAGCAAGGACCCCCGGTAACATTTTGGCGACCACAAAGGGACATCCAAAGTGGTGAGTAATATTGGACCACTTTCACTTGCTATTCTGTTCTATCCTTCCTTAGAACTGGAGGAAAATACCAGGCACAGGCACCTGTCAGCCAGTTAAAAACAATTAGCGTCGCCGCCACACTTAAGACTCAGGTGTGAGGCTATCTGGGGAAAGACTTTCTAACAACCCCCAACCCATCTAGTGGGGATGTTGGTCTGCCTGGAGACAGCTTCCACTTTCAATTTTCTTGGGGAAGCCGAGGGCTCACTAGAGGCAGACAGCTGTTGTCCCAAACTCCGGGCAGTAGCCGGTTGAGATCATGGTGCAGCCAGGAGTCTCTACTCAGCAGTCGCCGATGCATGTGCCCCTACCTTCCCTTCTGACCCATACATCCTGAGTCCCGACTGTGACTTTCTTGAAAGTGTAGCCCCAAAATTCTCCTTACCTCTGAATCTACTTCCTCTGATCCCTGCCTCCTGGGTACTAATGATTCAGACTTTCATTTCCTCTAGCAAGTTGTGTCTCCAAAGGGATCTAAGGAGGCTCTACGCTGCATCCTTAGGCACCTAGGCTATAACCCAAGGAGTCTTATCCCTGGTGTCCCTCCCGATTTGGGTATACAACTCTCAACATGGGCAGTTATGTAGGACCCATTCCCCACCACACTTGCCAGGGCCCCAAGTTTGTAATGGCTAAGAGAGAGACACAGAGAGAGAGAGAGAGATGGAGAGAGAGACAAGGAGGGAGTCAAAGAGAAAAAGAAAGAAAAAGAAATAGTAGAAAAAAAAGTGTGCCCTATTCCTTTAAAAGCCAGGGTAAATTTAAAACCTGTAATTGATAATTGAAGGTCTTCTCCGTGACCCTGTAACACTCCAATGCCATTTTGTTGTCAGTGTAAATAAGGGCATAGCCCAAAAGCACTGAGGTCACTGACAACCCGTAGCTTTCCCATCAAAAATCCTTAACCCAGTAATCCGCGGATGGGCCAAATGCATTCAGTCGGTAGCAGCAACCGCTTTGCTAAAAGTAGAAAAGTAACTTTTAGAGGAAACCTCATTGTGAGCGCACACCTCACCAGTTCAGAATTATTCTAAGTCAAAAAAAAAAAAAGCAAAAAGGTAACTTACTAACTCAAAAATCTTAAAGTATAGGTCTATCATATTAGAAAAGGGTAATGTAACTCCAACCACTGATAATTCCCTTAACCCAGCAGATTTCCTAACAGGGGATTTAAAACTTAATTACCATACAAAGGTCCCACCAGACCTAGGAGGAACTCCCTTCAGGACAGGACGATAAACGGTTCCTCCCAGGTGATTGAGGAAAAAAACCACAATGGGTATTCAGTAATTGATACAGAGACTCATGTGGAAGCAGTTAGAAAAATTGCCTAATAATTGGTCTCCTCAAACGTGTAAGCTGTTTGCACTCAGCCAAGCCTTAAAGTACTTACAGAATCAAAAAGACTCTGAATCCTGACTCAAAAGGTTTGCTACACCCTCTGTGAAACAAATTTGCATAAGAACTGTTGTTTATGGGAAGGCATCTTGATGGGGCAGCTGGGTTGTTATGAAATACTCAGGACCCCAGCCCGGCTCTAGGACTCACCCCTGAGCGCAAAAGGCAATGTTGGGCACGCTGGTAAAGGACCACTAGAATCCAGCAGCCCGGACCCCTTTCTTTGTGGTCAAGAGAGGCGGGAAAACAGGTGCAGGACTGCTACATCAGTGAGCATAACTAATCCAGTAAGCAGAGGTCCATGGGTGGTTATGCACCCTGGAAAAGAATACGCATTAGGCCCTTAGAGGATGCTCTAGGACTAATGCTCATCGGAAAATGACTAGGGGTGCTGACATCCCTATGTTCTTTTTTCAGATGGGAAACGTTCCTCCCACCCCAAGGCAAAAAACACCCCTAAGATGTATTTTGGAGAATTAGGACCAATTTGACCCTCAGACACTAAGAAAGAAATGACTTACATTCTTCTGCAGTACCATGATATCCTCTTCAAGGGGGAGAAACCTGGCCTCCTGAGAGAAGTATAAATTATAACACCATCTTACAGTGAGACCTCTTCTGTAGAAAGGAGGGCAAATGGAGTGAAGTGCAAACTTTCCTTTCATTAAGAGACAACTCGCAATTATGTAAAAAGTGTGATTTATGCCCTACAGAAAGCCCTCAGTCTACCTCCCTATCCCAGGGTCCCCCCGATTCCTTTCCCAACTAATAAGGACCCCCCTTTTACCCAAATGGTCCAAAGGAGATAGATGAAGGGATAAACAATGAACCAAACAGTGCCAATATTCCCTGATTATGCCCCCTCCAGGCAGTGGGAGGAGGAGAATTCGGCCCAGCCAGAGTGCATGTACCTTTTTTTTTCTCTCAGACTTAAAGCAAATTAAAATAGACCTAGGTAAATTCTCAGATAACCCTGATGGCTATATTGATGTTTTACAAGGGTTAGGACAATCCTTTGCTCTGACATGGAGAGATATAATGTTACTGCTAAATCAGACACTAACCCCAAATGAGAGAAGTGTCACCATAGCTGCAGCCCAAGAGTTTGGCAATCTCTGGTATCTCAGTCAGGTCAATGATAGGATGACAACAGAGGAAAGGGAATGATTCCCCACAGGCCAGCAGGCAGTTCTCAGTGTAGACCCTCACTGGGACACAGAATAAGAACATGGAGATCGGTGCCGCAGATATTTGCTAACTTGCGTGCTAGGACTAAGGAAAACTAGGAAGAAGCCTATGAATTATTCAGTGATGTCCACTATAACACAGGGAAAGGAAGAAAATCATACTGCCTTTCCGGAAATACTAAGGGAGGCATTGAGGAAGCATACCTCTCTGTCACCTGACTGTATTGAAGTCCAACTAATCTTAAAGGATATGTTTATCACTCAGTCAGCTGCAGACATTAGAAAAAACTTCAAAAGTCCACCTTAGGCCCAGAGCAAAACTTAGAAACCCTATTGAACTTGTTAACCTCAGTTTTTTATAATAGAGATCAGGAGGAGCAGGCGGAACAGGACAAACAGGATTAAAAAAAGACCACCGCTTTAGTCATGGCCCTCAGGCAAGTGGACTTTGGAAGCTCTGGAAAAGGGAAAAGCTGGGCAAATTGAATGCCTAATAGGGCTTGCTTCCAGTGTGGTCTACAAGGACACTTAAAAAAAGATTGTCCAAGTAGAAATAAGCTGCCCCTTCGTCCATGCCTCTTATGTCAAGGGAATCACTGGAAGGCCCATTGCCCCAGGGGAGGAAGGTCCTCTGAGTCAGAAGCCACTAACCAGATGATCCAGCAGCAGGACTAAGGGTGCCCAGGGCAAGCCCCAGCCCATGCCATCACCCTCACAGAGCCCCGGGTATGCTTGACCATTGAGGGCCAGGAGGTTAACTGTCTCCTGAACACTGGCACAGCCTTCTCAGTCTTACTTTCCTGTCCCGGACAACTGTCCTCCAGATCTGTCACTATCTGAGCGGTCCTAGGACAGCCAGTCACTAGATATTTCTCCCAGCCACTAAGTTGTGACTGGGGAACTTTACTCTTTTCACATGCTTTTCTAATTATGCCTGAAAGCCCCACTCCTTTGTTAGGGAGAGACATTCTAGCAAAAGCAGGGGCCATTATACATCTGAACATAGGAGAAGGAACACCCGTTTGTTGTCACCTGCTTGAGGAAGGAATTAATGCTGAAGTCTGGGCAACAGAAGGACAATATGGATGAGCAAAGAATGCCCATCCTGTTCAAGTTAAATTAAAGGATTCCGCCTCCTTTCCCTACCAAAGGCAATACCCCCTTAGACCCGAGGCCCAACAAGGACTCCAAAAGATTGTTAAGGACCTAAAAGCCCAAGGCCTAGTAAAACCATGCAATAGCCCCTGCCATACTCCAATTTTAGGAGTAAGGAAACCCAACGGACAGTGGAGGTTAGTGCAAGAACTCAGGATTATCAATGAGGCTGTTGTTCCTCTATACCCAGCTGTACCTAACCCTTATACAGTGCTTTCCCAAATACCAGAGGAAGCAGAGTGGTTTACAGTCCTGGACCTTAAGGATGCCTTTTTCTGCATCCCTGTACGTCCTGACTCTCAATTCTTGTTTGCCTTTGAAGATCCTTTGAACCCAACGTCTCAACTCACCTGGACTGTTTTACCCCAAGGGTTCAAGGATAGCCCCCATCTATTTGGCCAGGCATTAGCCCAAGACTTGAGCCAATTCTCATACCTGGACACTCTTATCCTTCGGTATGGGGATGATTTAATTTTAGCTACCCATTCAGAAACGTTGTGCCATCAAGCCACCCAAGTGCTCTTAAATTTCCTCGCTACCTGTGGCTACAGGTTTCCAAACGAAAGGCTCAGCTCTGCTCACAGCAGGTTAAATACTTAGGGCTAAAATTATCCAAAGGCACCAGGGCCCTCAGTGAGGAACGTATCCAGCCTATACTGGCTTATTCTCATCCCAAAACCCTAAAGCAACTAAGAGCATTCCTTGGCATAACAGGCTGCTGCTGAATATGGATTCCCAGGTACAGTGAAATAGCCAGGCCATTATACACACTAATTAAGGAAACTCAGAAAGCCAATACCCATTTAGTAAGATGGACACCTTAAGCAGAAGCGGCTTTCCAGGCCTTAAAGAAGGCCCTAACCCAAGCCCCAGTGGTAAGCTTGCCAACAGGGCAAGACTTTTCTTTATATGTCACAGAAGAAACAGGAATAGCTCTAGGAGTCCTTACACAGGTCTGAGGGATGAGCTTGCAACCCATGGCATACCTGAGTAAGGAAACTGATGTAGTGGCAAAGGGTTGGCCTCATTGTTTACGGGTAGTGGCAGCAGTAGCAGTCTTAGTATCTGAAGTAGTTAAAATAATACAGGGAAGAGATCTTACTGTGTGAACATCTCATGATGTGAATGGCATAGTCACTGCTAAAGGAGACTTGTGGCTGTCAGACAACTGTTTACTTAAATACCAGGCTCTATTACTTGAAGGGCCAGTGCTGCGACTGTGCACTTGTGCAACTCTTAACCCAGACACATTTCTTCCAGACAATGAAGAAAAGATAGAACATAACTGCCAACAAGTAATTGCTCAAACCTATGCCACTCGAGGGGACCTTTTAGAGGTTCCCTTGACTGATCCCAACCTCAACTTGTATACTGATGGAAGTTCCTCTGTAGAAAAAGGACTTTGAAAAGTGGGGTATGCAGTGGTCAGTGATAATGGAATACTTGAAAGTAATCCCCTCACTCCAGGAACTAGTGCTCAGCTGGCAGAACTAATAGCCCTCACTCGGGCACTAGAATTAGGAGAAGAGAAAAGGGTAAATATATACAGACTCTAAGTATGCTTACCTAGTCCTCCATGCCCATGCAGCAATATGGAGAGAAAGGGAATTCCTAATTTCCAAGGGAACACCTATCCAACATCAGGAAGCCATTAGGAGATTACTATTGGCTGTACAGAAACATAAAGAGGTGGCAATCTTACACTGCCGGTGTCACCAGAAAGGAAAGGAAAGGGAAATAGAAAGGAACCACCAAGCGGATATTGAAGCCAAAAGAGCCGCAAGGCAGGACCCTCCATTAGAAATGCTTATAGAAGGACCCCTAGTATGGGGTAATCCCCTCCAGGAAACCAAGCCCCAGTACTCAGAAGAAGAAATAGAATGAGGAACCTCACAAGCACATAGTTTCCTCCCCTCAGGATGGCTAGCCACTGAAGAAGGAAAAATACTTTTGCCTGCAGCTAACCAATGGAAATTACTTAAAACCCTTCACCAAACATTTCCCTTAGGCATTGATAGCACCCATCAGATGGCCAAATTATTATTTACTGGACCAGGCCTTTTCAAAACTATCAAGCAGATAGTCAGGGCCTGTAAAGTGTGCCAAACAAGTAATCCCCTGCACTGCAGGCCATACATTTCAATCCCTGTATCTTTAACCTCCTTGTTAAGTTTGTCTCTTCCAGAATCAAAGCTGTAAAACTACAAATAGTTCTTCAAATGGAGCCCCAGATGTAGTCCATGACTAAGATCTACCGCGGACCCCTGGACAAGCCTGCTAGCCCATGCTCTGATGTTAATGACATGGAAGGCACCCCTCCCGAGGAAATCGCAACTGCACAACCCCTATTACACCCCAATTCAGCAGGAAGCAGTTAGAGCATTCATCAGCCAACCTCCCCAACAGCACTTGGGTTTTCCTATTGAGAGGGGGTACTGAGAGACAGGACTAGCTGGATGTCCTAGGCTGACTAAGAATCCCTAAGCCTAGCTGGGAAGGTGACCACATCCACCTTTAAATACGGGGCTTGCAACCTAGCTCACACCCAACAGATCAGAGAGCTCGTTAAAATGCTAATTAGGCAAAAACAGGAGGTAAAGAAATAGCCAATCATCTATTGCCTGAGAGCACAGCAGGAGGGACAAGGATTGGGATATAATCCCAGGCATTCGAGCTGGCAACAGCAACCCCCTTTGGGTCCCCTCCCTTTGTATGGGAGCTGTTTTCACTCTATTTCACTCTATTAAATCTTGCAACTGCACTCTTCTGGTGCATGTTTGTTACTGCTTGAGCTGAACTTTCACTCGCCATCTACCACTGCTGTTTTGCCGCCGTCGCAGACCCACTGCTGACTTCCATTCTTCTGGATCCAGCAGGGTGTCCACTGTGCTCCTGATCCAGTGAGGCACCCATTGCCGCTCCCGATCTGGCTAAAGGCTTGCCATTGTTCCTGCATCGCTAAGTGCCTGGGTTCGTCCTAATCAAGCTGAACACTAGTCACTGGGTTCCACAGTTCTCTTCCATGACCCACGACTTCTAATAGAGCTATAACACTCACCTTATGGCCCAAGATTCCATTCCTTGGAATCCATGAGGCCAAAAACCCCAGGTCAGAGAACATGAGACTTGCCACCATGTTGAAGTGGCCTGCTGCCATTTTGGAAGTGGCCCACCACCATCTTGGGAGCTCTGGGAGCAAGGACCCCTGGTAACACAATGGTCATGATGACACTAACCTCAAAGTTTTGTCACTTATTATCTCTATTGATAGTTCACTGTTATGCAAAATTTGCCTCCTATAACTTTATTTTTGTTATCTTTGTCTTCTGAGGACAAACTGAAAATTAAATGAGAATTGTCCCATTTTCACAACCATTTTCTCAGATCACAGTTCCACCGAATTTCTAAAAATTCATTTTTCTGGGATATATCCAGTTTTTTAACCATAGCTTATAAAATGAGAAAACATGATATTTAATTCACTCAAAATCATGTGATTTTTTTTCTGCAGTTACAATTGATTAAGGTTCTTCCTAAATTTTTATTAGAAACTGAGTCCAAAATTTCAGTTATGATTTCACACCAGCAGAAAAGAGTAGCACCCCTACTATGTACCAATTAGTAAAGCTAAGTTTGGGTTTCATGTATTAGCTCTCATGGGCTACTCGGAGATAAATTGATCTTGCAGTCAATTAAAAGCAAAGGATTTTTTGCTAGAAGTGTGCTACCAAGCTGTGTGTCTCTGGCTTGTGCAGTTAACTATTTAAACCTAAAAGCAGTACTTTATACCTTTTAAAGGTCAAATTGCTGGTTTCAATCCGGTGTTCTGGCCTCTCATGTTCTTCTTTGATTCCCGCATAAAAGGCTTGTGTCATCTGCAAAGGTGATGAGCCTTTCTCTCTTACACAGCTTCATGAATGTCTTAGCTGAAAATGTTGACCAGAGGCTCATCAGCAAAGTCAATTCTCTAGCCAGAGCAGTGTCCTCAACTTTCAAACCAGATTATAGTGAGGAAGTTATGCTGTTTGTCACACACAAGAAGAAAGGAAATTGCATACTGCTGCCAATATTGCACTCTTCCTGAAAATAAATAGAAATGGCCTTTCAAGAGCTCCCAAAATGAAGTTTAGGATGTTTTAAAAATTCTTCTTTCAATAGTAGGATGGCAGAAGGAACACCTGAAATATTGCTTGTTTGTATTCTCAGAACTTTTGCTGTTAATTCTAAACAAAATTGGCAGTTATTTGCATAACCTCATATGAAAGGGAATGAAAGGTCTTTATGCCCAAAAACATTTTATTTGCGTATTCATTCATTCAATCAATAAATGATTAAGCAAATATTAAGTTCTTGTTATATTCAGAAAATGTAGTGGATTCTGGACATTCAAAGATAAAGTATTATCCTGCCCTTGGAGCTGAATCACATAAAGGAGGTAATAGAAACTCAAGCAAGTGGAATAAAATGTTAAGGAGTTTTATTACCTACTCAGAATAGTAAGATAGCATGAAAGTAGGATACAATAATACATAGTATATCTATATTAACGTATCTAAATCTAATCTACATATACATACCAAAACAACCATTGGAAAATATTATGGAAGTTCTCTTTTAGAATTTCAACAGATACCTCTGAATAAATAATAATAATCTGATGTATTTCATATTATAAAACTATAAAATATTACTCATATTACACAACTAGTTAGTATAAGGACAAGATTTAGACTTACCTCATCCACTTTCTGAGTCCGTGCACTAAAGCACTATATCAGAGCTCACCTTCTAGAATGGCAAAAATCAAAATGAGTATTAATTCTCAGTGATATTGAGGATATGAGAAAACTCATGTATTGGTAGTGCAAATACAAATTGCTATAAAGAACTGCCTGAGACTGGGTAATTTATAAAGGAAAGAGGATTAATTGACTCATTGTTCAGCATGGCTGGGGAGGTCTCAGGAAACTTACAATTATGGCAGAGGCGAAAGGGTACCAAGGCACCTTCTTCACAAGGCAGCAGGAAGGATAAGTGCTGAGCAAATGGGGAAGAGGTCCTTATAAAACCATCAGATCTTGTGAGAACTTACTATCATGAGAACAGCACAGGGAAACTGTCCGATGATTCAACTACCTCTACCTGGTCTTTCTCTTGACACATGGGGATTATGGGGATTACAATTCAGGATGAGATTTGGGTAGGGACTATATTAGTCTGTTTTCACGCTGCTGATAAAGACATACCAGATACTGGGCAATTTACAAAAAAAAAAAAAAAAAAAAAGAGGTTTAATTGGACTTACAGTTCCACGTGGCTGGGAAGCCTCCCAATCATGGCGGAAGGCAAGGAAGAGCAAGTCACGTCTTACTTGGATGGAAGCAGGCAAAGAGAAAGATCTTGTGCAGGGGAATTTCTCTTTTTAAAACCATCAGATCTAGTGAGACTTATTCACTATCATGAGAACAGCATGGGAAAGACTTGCCCCGTGATTCAGTTACCTCCCACTGGGTCCCTCCACAACACATGGGAATTCAAGATGAGATTTGGGTGGAGACACAGCCAAACCATATCAGGGACACAAAGCCTAACCATATCACCTATAAAAATACAAAATTATGCAAATGTACATGTGCCATGATGTTCTTTGCACTATTATTTATAATAGAAGATTGGCTAAATAAATTTCAATACATCCATGTAGTAGAACACTATGCAATCATTTGAAAAGACAAGTAAAAGGTAAAACTATAGAGACATAAGCAGACCAGCAGTTGCATGGGCTGGGGTGGGAGTGGGCAGTGAAAACAAGAAGGTACAAGGAAAATTTTAGGGGTTGATGGAAATGTCTTAAAATTGAATTGTAGTGATAATTGTACAACTGGAAACATGTACTAAAAACTGATCAAACTACAAAAAACCTGTAAGTCTAGATAATAAATTATCAACAATAGTTACCTCAAGATGTGGGAATTATGAGAAACCTTTCAACGTAAATAATCTGTATTATTTATATATTGCTACATTTTATTTTTGTGGATTACTTTAGTACTCAGAAAAACAGCTCCTAAATAATATCTATCTTAAATCAATAAACAATATCATATAATGATGAAAACCCACTAAACCCACTTTCCCAATTATAATAAAGATGATTACTAACATTACTATTTTTTCAAGTAATGAGGCACAAGTACTAAAAATAACCAAATATAATTACTATTATTGGTAATGATTTGATTGCCTGTATGAGAAACCAAGTGAAAGACTACAAAATGAAATGTAGTCAATAATATGGTTAGTTATGAAATAAATGTTTAGAAATCAGTATTTTTCTATATGTTTACAATAACAAAAGAGAAAATATAACAAGAACTCTTTAGATTAACTCAGTAAGAAAGGTATACAACCTATACAAGGAAAACCACAGACTTCCCTGAGGGTAACAAAAGCATAGAATAAATGCTATTTTTTTAGTTAAGATGATATTTTAAAGAGGTGAGTTATATACACATTGATCTACAAATGTAGTGAAATTTCAATACATGTTTGTGTTTCATTTGTAAATTTTTAAAAATTTTAAAGAGTGACCACATAAAAATAAGACTTTTCTAGAATTATAACAATGAGGGATAATTAGGTATTTGATATTAAAATTTATTTTATAGTCACTATAATTTAAGAGTAGCATTGTCATTTGAATACGACAGACCAAAAGAACAAAACATATCCCCTCACATATATAAAAGAAGAAATTATATGATAAAGACAATACTATTTCAAATTAGAGAGAAAAGCAAGAATTAATAGATAAATACTATTGGACGCAGCTGCAGCTCACAAGTTCAAAAATAAATTAGATTCCTACTTCTCACTTTATCCCCAAGACAAAAGTGATATGTGCATTTAAAACAACAGTCCAAGATTCCTAAGGAAAGGCCTTTCTGTTTAAAAAAATACAAATTCACTGATAATAGTCTGTGAGCATTGTGGTTTCCAATGTCATTAGTATCTAACCTAAACATGAGATCAAAAAGACAATAAAAGAAGAAACATCCAGACCTTAGAGAGAAAAATTATTTCAACTGTCCCCAGCACTGTGAGTATTTAAGAAAAAAAATGGATTTTTCAGACAGATTTTCACTAAAATCCTGGCCCTACCACTTACTAAGCAATTACTTAGTCTCTCTCTTTGCCTCAGTTTCCTTTTGAGTAAAGTAAAATAAATAATATATACCAAATTAGATATGATAGTTAAATGAAATAATTTATGCAAAGTACTTTACTGGCAGTTAGATCTTAAATTAATGTTACCCTTACCTATCTGTAATAGTCTGCTTGGGCTGCCATAACAAAATACCATAGACTGAGTGGCTTAAACAACATAAATTTATGTTCTTATAGTTCTGGTGTCTGGAAAGTTTAAGATCAAAATGCTGGCCCATTCAGTTCTGGGGAGGGCTTTTCTTTTGGCTTGCAGACAACCTCCATTTTTCTGTCTTCACATAGTAGAGACAGAGAGAGTGCAAGCTCTCTGTTGTCTCTTATCATAAGGGCACTAATCCCACCATGAGGGCCCCACCCTTGCAGCCTCATCTAACCCTGATTACCTCCCAAAAGCCCCATCTCCAAATGCCATCAAGCTGGGAATTAGGACTTCAATATATGAATTTTTGGCAGGAGGGATACTAACATCCAGTCCATCATACTGTTCCACTCTCTTTCTTCTCCAAATACTTGCAGAACAAGAAATGCTAATGGCTAGCTTCCTTAACTATTATTTTCCCTGTATGTCCTTAAAATTTAGATAGATAAGAGCATTCATCAAAACAGTTACTGATTTATTCAACAAACAGTTCATAAGCACCTACAATTTTCCAAGGATTGTGCTAGGTGCTGGAATTATACAAATTAGTTAATCAGACATGGTTCTAGCCTTCAACAACCAACTTCAGATCATGTTTTATTTCTTCCTTAAAAACCACTATTTCCCTCCCTCTGTAGGGCTCTATTAATGTTAAGAGTTTTCCTATTTATTCAGTCATTTTCTTCTTGGAAAAAGCAGCACAGGTAGGCATGGGCCATTATTATCTCCATTGAATACATGAGAAAAAATAGGTGCATAGAATTTAAGGACAGGCCATAATATTCATAGATGCTTGGCACTAGAGAAGATGAAATGAAGAAGAGTTACTTTCAAAGTCTATGTCTTTGAATGTCTTTGCTTTCTTCTCAGTCTACATTCTTTAAAGAAGCAAGCCTGTTTGGACTCCTGACAACATTGAAGTACAATGTCTTTTCAAAAATATTTACTAAAATAATTTCTCCATTTAACCTACAGAACAGCCTCATGAGCAAGAGGTACCTCTCTTCTTCAGCAGTTTCGTAAAATTGAAGTGAGGAAAAGGTCATAATATCAATTTCAACAGGACTTAAGTTGAAAAACAGTATTTTATCAGTATCTGGTGATGCCACAAAGAAACATATGGCCATGTTCCTTTTCAAAGGAAAGGTTTTCATTTATGTTGTTTATAATGCAGCACACAAAAAAATAGGAAAATTCCAAGCAATAGTTATTGAAGTAATTATCATTGATCATTTCAGATAATGAAACTAAAGTTTAAACCATCAAGTGTCTTATATAAGGTACCACACAGTTGGAGTTTGTGTACACTTATCTAATGTTCCTTTTATTTTTCATAAAAATGATACTAACACATGGCAAAACATTTTTCTTTTAAAAGTAAAAAAAAAAAAAAAGTTGTTTCATCTCTCTCTGCAATGTTAGCCCAAGTCCTACCTCCACTACCCAGAAGTAACCAGCCTTGTCTGGTCCTTGTGAAAAATCAGGCACCTAACATTGATGTGTATAAATACCCCTTTTAAACATATAAATGAGATTATCATAAAAATAATATTTTGCAGCCTTCTAGTATCAGTAGCAATATACTTTGGACAGTTTTCTAGAACAGCATATGTAGTTCTACCTCATTCTTTTTAATGACATATCAATTTCATAAGGGCCAAATTCTCATTTTTTTCCTGGCTCTTGGTAACCGCTGTCCTTTCTACCAAGCCAAGTAACTCTCTTCCTTAGTAGATACAAAAACTTGAATTGAAAATAAGGTCATAATGGCAATTTCAACCGGACTTAACTTGAAGAACAGTATTTTATCGGTACCCAGCCATGCCATAGACTTTTTTTCAAAGGAAAGGGGTTTCCTTCCAGGCAGTTTGTGCTGCAACACACCAGAAATAGGACAATTCCAGGCAACGTCCTCTCTCTTTCATACACACACAACACAAGTCAAAGACCTAAACTGTTAACTGGCTGTATCAACCCAACACAAGCTTCAAGTAAATTTTTCTCAGACCTTGCACCTCAAGAAAAATACCCTCAAATTCACAATAATAAAAAGAAAAAGCAAAAAAATTACATTTTCTTTACACTAAAGATAGAAAGATCAATCTGCTAGTGATAATACTGAGCTGTTATTTTGACAAATACAGACTTTAAAAGATAATTTCCCAACATTCAACTGTAGCCGGAGATAACAGAACTAAAATCCTTTCCCTAAACTCAGCAAGGTCCCTAAAATGCTGCCTAGTTAGATTCAAAGAAAAAGGTTTCAATAAAAGTGAGACCAGTAAAGACAGACTGAACCCCAGAATGCTCAGAAACATGCAACTCAGTAGATTTGCAGGAAAAGAAACCTCACTTAGGTAAAAAGATTAAAACTCCTATTTAGCAAACATTGGCTTTACTAGTACAAAATCCTTAGTAATCATTTCCCCTAATCAAATGGATGTCCTGTTGCTGTGTAATCAATGATAATGGATGTATTCTGCAAACTGCAGTGTTTAGAAGCCTTTTCAAAGCAGGGAAGCCACACTGTCCTTTGCAGCCTCTCAGAGGAAAGCAGAGATAAAGAAAATGGCCATCTTCCTGACTCCAGGCTCTAAAGGCCAACAAAGCTCATTAGCTATTTATCTGTGTGCACAGAGTCACATTAATCATGAGATACCATTCTACAAACATCACCCAAAGGGAGACATGCTGGGAAAGAAAAATCAGTTGAGAAAGCCAGACATTCAAACTTAAGACAGCATCAGAGCCAAAAGGAAAAAATTATGGGTGTAATTCATTTAGGTGTCACATTTTTATTAATTGCCTTTGCTATACCAGGCGCTACCTGTACTAAGGATATGAGTATAATAAAATTTAATCTTCACACCCAAAGATCTCCCAGTATAGAATGGGATGCAGAAATGTAAATAATTACAATTCAATGTTATAAATTCCATGACAAAGATAAGCCATAGAGTTATGGGAGGATAAAACAGGCACCTCTAATCCTACATGACTCAGGATAAGCACATAGAGAAACTATTTTTAAATCCTTACTGGTAAACTGATCACCATGGTTTGCTTAGAAGGGGAAATATGTGACCAAAAGACAGAATTGGAGGGAGACTTATTTTCAACGTGTACATGCATTTTTGCAACTTTTGAAATGTGTACCCTTCACATACATCACCTATTCACAAATTAATTAATTAATTTTATATCAAATGGTGATTAAAATTGATTAAAAAAATTAATCCTTGTCCAGAGTGAAAAAGCAATAACTGTCTAATATCTGCTTATTCATAGTCGAGAAAAATAAGAATGCATTAGTACCCATGAATAAATAACAATGCATTTGAATTTTTATAAGCAAGTTTGAAATTCAAAAACCTTGCATCTTACAACAGGACACCAGGTTTCCATGCAATCAAGTCATGGACAAATATAATACACTGCTGGTCATAGCGTAAGTTGATATAACCACTCAATAAAACAGTTGACTTTATCTAGCAAAGTTTAAGATATGCATAACTTAAGACCCAATTCTCATCCTAGATATACACTATAGTGGTTCTCAATCTTTAATATGCATCACAAGCATCTGGAAGGCTACTTAAAACACAGATTGCTTGGCCCCACCTCCAGTGTTTCCAATGGAGTAGGTCTGGGGTGGGACCTGAGAATTTTCATTGCTAAGTTCCCAGGTGATATGAATGTTGTAGATTCAGATGCCACACTTTAAGAACCACTGCTCTAGAGTAACTTATACACACATGCATCAGGACACATGAAAAAGGATGTGCACAGCAGCATTTTTCATAATGCCCCAAACTGTAGACAACCAAAATTACTATCAATAGAATAATGCTCAAGTTGTGCTGAAATCATGCAATGGATTACCATACAGCAAAGAATATAAATTACAGCTGCAGGCAATAATAGGAATGATTCTCAAAAATATAATACAGTGCAAAAAGATGTAAGACACAGCATATTCAGTGTGACTTGATTTGTATAATGTCTCAAAATAGGCAAAATTAAACTCTATCATTTACAAACATAAATAATAAAACTATAATGCCAACCAAGTAAGTGATTATCACAAAGCTGACAATGCAATCCACTATGTCTTCATTTGGATAATGGTTATCCCAGTGTTAGGTTGATAATTATTTGTTAAATTGCACATATAAGTTTAATGCACTTTTCTGTCAGAATGCTATATTTACAATAAAAGTATGGAAAATGTATTCAAAGTGGAGAGATAATTAAAAATGGATGACTCAGAAAATGCTTCACAAAGATGCTAAGACGGAAGCTCTAGTGAAGGAAGTTTAAATCCTTTCAATGAAAAGAACACTAGATTTGATATTTAAAAATAGAGTTGTTAAAGAATTTCTAAAATCCTTATTCAGTTAATAAGGTAATTTTTTAATTACCCCAATTTTATAAAATTCAATGGAAGGTTTAATAAACATGTATCAATTCCATCCCACTACCAACTCAATACATACAAATTTTTAAAATAATCTATTTTATTACTGATTTTTGCATTAAAAAAGGTTTGATTTATTATTACTAAATATGTTTTAATCCTAGAATTAGACTATTTTCTGTGTTGGGTAGGTTCTAGGTGTCAGATTGCAAATGGGAACATTATTTCTGGGATTGAGTCTTCTCAGAAAATAGTTACATTATCAACTAACGTTTTGTGATCCAACTTTTCTCAACACATCATCCTCTCTTCTTCCCCAGAAATTAGATAAGAACTCTTTTCCTTCTCAACACAGAATCATCACTTTAATCCATAAGAAGTTAAAGGTTTCTCCAAATATTTACCTCTTCAGTCAAAATTTTTGGGTGAATCAAAACACATCCCTTATATTTCTGTTTCATTTTGCTGAGTCATTTCCATTCTGCTTTCAGGACACCATCCTAAAATAAGAATTGCTTTTCCTTTTGACTCATGTATCTACAGAACGATGCCTTTGTTATTTCTAAAGTTAATAATTACCTCATTTTTCTAAAGGCTGAGAGGGTGAACCGCACAACCGTTCTTCCACCATTCTCCAGTCTGCTCCTCCAAAAAAACTGTAAGTTGACCAGGAATCTAACAAAACTTCAGTCGTCAGTACATCTCCTCTCCTTAGGTGAGCTCCCACAAACCCACAATTATATCCCCCAGTTTGGATAGAAGAAAAATGATGATGATCATTTACATATCTAACTGAAAGTAGAAAGGCACTTAGTAATGTGTTCAGGAAAATAACATTTGTGGCAGTCAATTACAGAATATAGTGATGTCTTGTAACTCCCTCACCCTACCCCCGACACATACACCAGATATCTCTATGTGTTAGCCCCACAAAATAAAAATTTCTGTCTCTCCTATCTCTTTCTCATGTTTGCTTTCTTCCTTTACTCTGGATCGTTTTCTCCAAAACAACAAAAATATCACTTATATTCTTTACCCCTTCTCCACCATAAAGCTTCTCTTAAACTACTTCACATCCAGTGCTGTTGACTTCTCTAAAATCCACCCCCAACTCAGCCTCCCTCACTCTCTGTGAAACTGTGTCTCCCTTCTCTGTTCCCACAGCTCCCCACCCAAGTGTCTCTTACAATACCTTTCCATGTATTGCAATGACTTAATTATGTGCCTGTGGCTCCTAATGCTCCTTGAGGGAGTGATCATGTTTATTTTATCTCCAAATCTACACTTTACGTCATAACTGGTACTCAACAAATATGGCATTGAACTGAACTCTCCTTAACTTTTTCACCTTCATACAATCTTCTGAGAAAGGTAAGTGCGGACAGCAGACCTACTACATGTAAGGTACTTTGTTAGAGGCCTGGGGGATGCCTTCATGGAGACTTACAATCAAAATCACCACTAAATGAAGTCCAATTTAAGTGATGAAAAGCTTTATAAATGCTCTAATGGAATTATGTACAAGAATGCAGAAGAGAGAAAAGCCTTTCTAAGTAATGAGCAGAATAGGATGGGGAAGGAAGTCTCCAAGCAGAAAGTGGTACTCCACAAATGGCATTCTGACCTTCAGTCTTATTATCAAGGTATGAATTGCTTGGAATTATTTTGTATTTCTCACTTAATCCCTTATGGCCAATTGAAAACTCCCAAACATTCCACTTTTGGTAATGGCCCCAAAAATCCATCATCTCTTTTGCAATTCCACTCCTACTGCCTCATTCATTACTTCTAACATGAAATGAAAAACTGTAATAACATTTTAACTAACCTCTTCCGTCTTTCTTTGCCCCATCAATATATACTATGCATTCTTTCAGAATTAATCCCAATGTGGAATGTTAATCCTATCACTTCTCTGTACAAAAGCCTTTAATGACTCTCATTAGCTACTGAATTAATTTCTAGTTCTTCAGATCCAAGGCACAGCACAATGTGGCCAAAACCAATAATTGTAGCCTTATCTCCAGCCATTCCCTTACTTTGGCTCTGTGCTTTGGCCGATCTTGTCCATTCAGCATTCCCGAACATTCTTCCATCTTTCTGCTGCCTATTTCATTTCTCTTCTACTTGCTGTGCCTTCCCTGCTCATTTCCATTAGTCAAAATTCCAACCAGTTTCTAGAAATGGCTCAAGTGACTCAAGTGTCACTTGGTTGATAAAGCTTCTATTGTTGGCTATTCTCCCTGAAAAGCAGTGTGATCTCTGCCATACTAAACACCCGGTGTCATCCTTTATAGCGTGTATTGTTTTCATAGCCCCTGTGGGCGCAAATTCAGAGAGCTAGATAAAGTCTCTCACACTCTACAAATTAGACCTCCTTCCCCAATCCTACCTCCCCATTATGTCTGGAATTGCTATAACAGAGAATAAAATTTTTACTTGAGAATGAAGCACTTCATTTTTCTTGGAACTCCTGAAGCCCCTGGTACAGGGACTGGCCCTGAGAGGCATCAATTAGGTATCTGAAATGGATGTTAAACCAGAAACACATGCACATGCTCAGATGAAAACATGCAAAGCTAGGCCGAGCATGGTGGCTCACACCTGTAAGTCCAGCACTTTGGGAGGCCAAGACAGTAGAATCGCTTGAGCCCAGAAGTTCAAGACCAGCCTGGGCAACATGGTGAAACACCATCTCTACAAAAAGTACAAAAGTTGGCTGGGTGTGGTGGCGCATGACTGTAGTCCCACTGAGGTGGGACGATCACTTGAGCCTGGGAGGCAGAGGCTGCAGTGAGATGAGATTGTGCCACTGTACTCCAGCCTGGATGACAGAGCAAGATCCTGTGTCAAAAAAAATTAAGCTAAGATAAACCTTTTACATTGTCATTTTAAGGTCATAATGACAACATCAGTAGGGAGATAGGATTTGGCTATATACATCTTTGATCCCCACA